>NC_000008.11:33799496-34102526 GCF_000001405.40 Homo sapiens | reverse complement strand
AAATACAGATGTTCCAGAGAACCTTCTGCAGGGAATGGTAGCCAATGCCACATCTTCTAATCTACTGTGGTGTTCACACCAGGACATCCTTCCCTGAGCTGCTCCTCACCAATCACTGAGAATAAGGAATTACTTGAAACAAGCAATTTTTGTCTCTGGAATTCTTCCAATGGGTAGATTTGGCTTGAGACTCTGCATCAGTCTGGCCAAGACTTTCACAGAACTGCACTGCAATATGAGGCTATTTCTGGCCATTCCTTCCTTCTCTGCCTGTTCTCACAGGTGTCAAATCTGCATAGTGGTCTCAGGGCTCTTTTTGATTCTTCCTGACATTTCTTTCCAGACATCCCCCCACAAAAAAAAAAAAAAAAAAAAAAAAAAAAAAAAAAACCTGGCATCTCTAATCCTGTTTTCATATCTGATTCTTGGGAGAAATGATCTAACACACAAAGGCACGTAAGCCTGTTGGTGGTGGAAAAACATCAGTTTCTTCACATAGTTATCCTAAACACAGGGGTCATCACATGACTGCAAAAGGAAGGTTTGAAAAAGTCAGGGAAAGAGTTTTCATTAGACAGTGTATTAGTCCATTCTAACGTTGCTAATAAAGACAACCCTGAGACTGGGTAATTTATAGGGGAAAAAGGTTTAATTGACTCACAGCAAATTAAAGGGGACATGTTTGCCTCCCCTTCTGCCATGACTGTAGGTTTCCAGGACTCAGGAAACCTACAGTCATGGCAGAAGGGGAAGCAAACATGTTCTTCTTCACATAGCAACAGCAAGGAGATAGTGCCAAGCAAAAGAGGAAAAAGCCCCTTATGAAACCATCAGATCTCATGATAACTCAGTATCAGGAAAACAGCACAAGGGTGACTGCCCCCAGGATTAAATTACCTCCCACTGGGTCCCTCCCATAACATGTGGGGATTATGGGAACTACAATTCAGGATGCAATTTGGGTGGGGACACAATCAAACCATATCAGAGAGTTAGGAACTAACTAGACCACAGGGCTTCATTTATCTGGGAGATCAGTCCCAGGTAGGGTGTTCCTGCTCTGAGTTTATCTCAGGATGCAGAATGGTTTTTCTTTCCATTTATGGTATGTGATGTGATTATTATTTATCCAATAGGGCAAGGTGCAGATTTTGCTTTCTCAGAGGTACAGATACCTCTGAGAAGTTTCATTGCCCTGGGTTTCTTCACACTGGTTCCAGTTTGCTGGTTACCTTTAATACACTCTGAGGCAAGTCCGCTGAACATTTCTGGGCCACAAATATCATCTGATCAAAATCTCTACTGTTAGAGATGGGATACCCTAGGAGCCATTTTGCTGATTCTGCAATCTGTAAGGCAATAGAAAATAAAACAGCTAGTACTATCAAGATCTTGCTATTTTGGTAAGCATCTCAAAAGGGTAAAAATGGAAAAGTGTTTTGAAGCAAATTGTTGCAGTAGTGTTTTCTATATTGTGTTACTCTGAAATGTGTGTACATGTTTCTGGTGGGGGTAGGGGGAGGTAGGCATTTCTCAAAGCAAAGTCCTCTCCAATTCCTAGTGATGCTTATGAACACAGGCAACCCAGCAAGAAACCCCTGAATTCATTTCTCAAGCGTTGTGACCCCGGACCGCCAGATTCTCTCTGCATTAGGCCCCAACTAGCATTCAAACTGCATTGTCTCTTGAACGCCCTCACAGAACTCAGTATGAGGCCTTCAAAACCATTGTATTCCAGCCTTTGTTTGAATGGGGTTGTCTTTTCCTCATTCAGTCTGCAGTACACTGTCGGAGTGAATCCCACTGTTAGCCAGACAGGGGTCCCGAGAGAGGACATGTTGGGTTCTGTATGTTTAACTTTTTATCCTTTGTGTCAACCAGTTATGTTTCTAAAACATTTCCAATCCCCTAGCTTCACAGAAAACAAATAACTGTGCACAGCCCCCCTTCTTCCTTCATCCCTCATAAATAATCCCCAAGAAGGAGGATGGCCGCAGAGAAAGGGCCTGAATGCTGAAGAGTTTGGTACAGCCAGCTCTAGCTCCACCTCAGAGAATAATTTTGCAGCCAGGCCATGAAGCATAGGAATGAATTCCAAACTTTTCTAGTGTGATAGAAACAGAACAGAGTACTACCTTCCAGGCACAGTAGCAATAATTTTTTTAAGTCAAAATCCTATGTCATGGGAAGAGTTCAGGGCATAGAGTAATGGTTCCAATTTGGTCAAGTGTTTTATGTATGATTGAGACAAGCTAACATGATTATCTCTCTAGGCCTCAATGTGTCTATGTGTTATGAAGCAGTATTACACAATGGTTAAATATGTGACTTTGCAAGCTGGATTGCTTAATTTTGAATCCAAGATTTGCCACCAGGAAACCTTGGCAAGTTACTTGAAGTTTTTGTATTAAGTAGCTTATTCTTTCCTGTCCTGTATAACAACAACAAAATCTCAGTGCTTATCACAATAAAGGTTTATTTCTCACTCATTTGCATTATGGCTATAGAATACCTATAGCTCTGAGGCTTGGCTCCCCATATCTTCCTCATTGAGGAATTTAGCTGAGATAAAGCCTACATCTTGGCCACATAGCGGATGTGTGATGTAAAAAAGCCAGGTCCAGCCATGTGACGGCTCTTCCAGCATTTGGCTGAGAAGGGCCTATTATCTCTTCCACTCACATTTCATTGGCTTCAACAGTGATATCAAAATGCAAAGGAGTACCATCAGGTGTCACTTAACAATGAGGATATATTCTCAGAAATGCATCATTAGGCAATTTTGTCATTGTACAAACATCTGAGTGTACTTACACAACTGTAAATGGTGTAGCCTACTATACACCTAGGCTGTATGGTAGAGCCTTTTGCTCCTATCAAACCTGTGCAGCATGATACTGTACTGAATATTGTAGGCAATTGGAATACAATAGTATTTGTTCATCTAAGCATAGAAAAGGTACAGTAAAAGTACAGTATAAGAGATAGAAAATAATACACCTGTCCAGGGCACTTACCATGAATGGAGCTTGCAGGAGTGCAAGTTGCTCTGGGAGGGTCAGTGGATGAGTAGTGATATCATTTGGATTTGAGTCCCTGCCCAAATCCCATGTTGAATTGTAATCCCCATTGTTGGAAGAGGGGCCTGATGGGAGGTGATGGGATCATGAGGGCAGAATTCCCCCTTGTTGTTCTTGTGCTAATGAGTTCTCAGGAGATCTGGTTTAAAAGTATGTAGCATCTCCCTCTTCTCTCTCTTCCTCCTGCTCCAGCCATGTAGGATGTGCCTGCTTCCCCTGTGCCTTCCGCCATGATCATAACTCTCCTAAGGCCTCCTCAGCCATGCTTCCTGTACAGCCTGCAGAACTGTGAGTAAATTAAACCTCTTTTCTTCATAAATCACCCAGTCTCAGGTAGCTCTCATTCATAGCAATGTGAGAACAGACTAATGCAATGGGTGAGTGAATGTGAAGGCCTAGGGTATTACTGTACACTGCTATAGAATTTACAAACACTACACTTAGGCTACACTAAATGTATAAAAAATATTTTTCTTTCTTCTATAAATTAACCTTAGCTTACTATGACTTTTTTACTTTATAATTTTTTTTTAACCTTTTGGCTGTTTTCTAATAATAATTACCTTAAAACACAAATACGTTGTACAACAGTACAAAAAATGTTTTCTTTCTTTTATATTCTTATTTTTAACGTTTTCTATGTTTTAATTTTTTTTTTTTTTTTTTACTTTTTAAACTTTTTTTGTTAAGTACTAAGACACACACCCACATATACATTAGCATAGGCCTACACAGGGTCAGGATCATCAATATCCCTGTCTTTCACCTCCACCTCTTGTCCCTCTGGAAGGTCCTCAGGACAATAATACACATGGAGCTGTCATCTCTTCTGACAACCATGCCTTCCTCTGAGAAACCTCCTGAAGGACCTGCCTGAGGCTGTTTTACAGATAACTGTTTTTCAATAAGTTGAAAGGGTACAGTCTAACATAATGATAACAAGTATAGCAAACATGTAAGCCAGTAACAGTCATTTTTTATCATTATCAAGAATTACATACTGTACAGAATTGCATGTGCTAGACTTTTATAAGACTGGCAATGCAATAGGTTTGTCTACATGAGCATCACCACAAATGTGAGTAACACATTACAGTACCACATTATGTTGGCTACGACAGCACTAGGCAACAGGAATTTTTCAGCTTCATGAAAATCTTATGGGACCACTGTCCTAGTTGCAGTTCATCAGTGGCACATGACTGCATATTCCCTTCATATGAAGGATAAACAAGTCAAACAGCAAAGGGCAGGGATCCCTGGTCCTCTTACATGAAAGGAGGTAAATGCTTGTGTACAAAATGTAATCTACCTCTTGCATCTGACTTCCTCTATCTGTAAAATAAAACTCATAATAATAGTACCCATTTGATCAGGTTGTTATAAAGATTAAATGAGTTTTCATATGAAAAACATTTAAAACGGCACCCAGAATACAGTCAACCCTCATTCAATGTTAGTTATTATCTGTCCAATAGGAATAACGTAACTTTTTTTTCTACCTCATGGGGATATCTAAGGAGCTTATTATTAATGTTTTTGTTGGAGATACTATGTGAGATGAGAGAAATCCTATTAAGTACCATATAAAACTAAGAAATTTTATTGTATTAATGGCAGTTAATAATGTAGATGTGTGCCCTTTACTCATCTCCATGGAGATTTCATTGAGAAGGCTTCAAAGGGTGTTGTTAATAGCACAATATATCTTGGAGATACCATCATCATCATCATCAATAGCAAAATAAATCATTCATGAAGTCCCTATTATACATGAAGGCTTATACTCAGCATAAGAGATGTGAAGATAAATAAGATCCAGCCCTCTACGTGCTTACAGCCTTCTTAGAGAGACCTTTTTTCTTTATGTGCCTTAACGAAGTACCCACAGAAGAGCTCCATGGGTGGTGGAGCAGGCCATAGCTGCTACTGGAAGTCAAAGGGGGAATGACCCAGAGAGCCACAAGCTGGGAAATAATTCTCAGAGAACAAGACACTTGAAACAGCGCTTTAAGGAAAATGGGATTCATCTAACCAGACTAGAATAGAAAAGACAAATAAGAAGAGGAAAACATAAGGTACAATGTCCCCATTTTCAGGAAAAATTGAAACCCTGAGAAAGCGCAACAGATGTTATCAGTTGGCAAAATGAAAAACAAAATTAGGTTCCCTGGCACCTGGTACTGGGTGAAATTCTCCTCTAGACCTCTGGGTTTCTGGATAAAAGTGTCTCATCTTCTGCTGGTTTACTTACTGTATTTATTTCAAGATTTCATCTTTCTCCCTGTCATCCATCTTTTTATACCATCATGTGACGTGTGAAACACATTTCAATTCAGTTACAATAGTATTTATCACCTGTAAGCATCTACATCTACAATGTATCTTTTATAAATAATATTTTTTAATCCTCATAGAAACCAGTGACTTATTTAACATTATCTCCAAATTCACCTACTAAAGGGTCACATGAGTTTTCAGACCGAGGCACTTTCTCCCCAGGGCTGATGCTCTTTTCCACATCACTATACTCTCTCCCACTAGAACAGAAAGCAAAATGTATGTGTGTGCATGTGGGTACACATGTGTGTGTGTGCAGATCCATAAGCATGTTCTGCCACATGTGTGTGCATCTTCATGTTCATCTGCTTTGACATGGCCACAGCACCCCTGGAAATGCCTTCAGTTGGTCAAATGCTTCTTCCCACTTGCTAAATGTCAGTGCATCTGACGCTGGTTCTTAATGCTGTTGATTGATTGCAAGTCAATTGCTGACTCTGAAGAATATAGAAAACCATAAGAATAATTTCCTTGTTAGTTTATTTCAAAGCCACTGATGATTCTGCATCATGGTCACATTTTGGAGGCTAATGAGCCTAAGTGATCTAGGCAGGGCAGGGGATTGCAGGGAGCCTGCTTGGAAGGCAGAGGGAATTGTTAGGCCTCAGGTGTCTCATCAGGGATAATGGGGAATACCTCAACTCATGTGTGTCTCAGTGGTTCAGTCTCTCTGGTGAGAGCAATTTAGTAACAGCCAAGTAATTCTTGCTGTCACACAGCTGCCTTGTGATCATGCCTAGCCCTTTAATATGAACCCAAGAGCATATGGGAGAAGATCTGAAAGTCATCTCTAATAAGATTCCCGGTACTGTCCACTTCCATCACCAAGCTCTCAGTACATGTGGGTGCAGTGAATGCATTGTGGAGACACATGCACACATACAGAGCATTCCATAGGTCTCTTAATCATACCAAGACCTCATAAGCTCATTAAGTTCATTATTCCCCAGATTTTGTTATATAGTGCCTGAGTTTTAATTGGAACTTAAAAAATTTGTGGAGGGAAGAATGAGAAAAAAGGAGGAAAAAAACTACCCACACAATGGAATTTGGAAAAAAAAATTTAGAACCCAGTGCTTAATCTACAGTGAGATTTTTTATTATAATGTCAAGTTCTTTACTCATGAAATTTTCTATCTCTTTCCCTCAGGCCACTGCAGATCTGCCCATCTGTTTTAATTTGGATTACCACAAAAGCAGAACATGATGCAGGGCATTTGAGCAGGCAGTTTATGTGGCAGGTAAGCCAAGCAGAGTGAGAAGCTGACAGAGTAAGACAGTGCAGGAGGTAAAGCTAATATAAGGGTGAGATACCAGGGTCACCCCTGTGTAATGGGAACTAGATTTTTCCGGGATCTTCTGAAACATACTATTGCCGTAATTGCCAACCAGAAACTCAATGGAGCTCCATTGCCAAATTGGATCAAGGTTTGATCATGCACCAGGAAGGCTGAGTGGGCTCCTTCAAGCATCCTACATGACAGTACCAGAAAGTTCCTAGCGAGTAAGCAAGAAATCCATTGTTTAATTGAAGCTCAGTGAGGTCATCAGAGACAGAAATCTAACCAAGAAATCTATCAAAGAAGTCTAACACAGTCCATTCCTTGAGCCACTTGAATCTAAGTTTACACCCTAAATAGATTCTTGCCATCACAGAGCCCTTAGGTTGGTAGTAAGCTTAGTCTTCACAAAGGACCCAATATGAAATGATTAAACAAGTTAGTCTTTACTACGGCAACTAGTCCCAAATCTGTAACTTAGATTCAATTCATCATCCTCTATTTCCACCATCCATTCCAAATGTGCCTTGCCTTCAGCCAGAATTTCAGTGGATCTAGATGTTTTCCTGTTAGGGTAACACACATCTTTTTTTCCTGAGAAGTTTCATTTTCTAATTGCCCTACACTCAGCAGGCCATGTTTACTGCAGTTGTCCATTCATCCTTTTTACTGAGCATGAAAAACACCAAAAGACACTCCAGTGTACCTTTGAGTTCCCTGGATAATCCTCCCCATCACTAAATGTAGTAACAAAGCTAGATCTTTATAACAATCAGGGTCAATAACATCCCACTGGAAAACCTTATTCATCCCCTCATGTAAATGTTTTATTCTCTGGGAACCAGAACCTCCAAACGAACAATGCCTAAGGTTGCTGCATGGATGAAAAAGATAAATTCCACAAGTGGATCACTTACAATTATTGTAAGATGAACCCATCCAAATTTCATCCTTTGGTTCTTTGAGCTGTGTTCCTACCTAATGGGGACATAGGATAAGATATTGGTTTGTTGGATATACTGAATCCTAGAGAAGAACACTCCAACTCCACAGAATTTGTCCTTAAATTGTCATTTTATTCTTTTAAATATAATTTTTAGTTTTTATTTATGAAAATACTGGCAGCAAGAAAAACAGGCGTGGGTGGGTTCAGGCACTGGGTACAGTAGCTCTCCTACAGGAGGTGTTCACATGGCTCACAGGGAACTGCCTACGTCTCTACTTTTGCAGACAGGGAGGGAAGCAAGTCTGATTTTTATGCCAAGAAGAACTCCAAAGCCTCCTTTTCCTAGACATAGGGTTTGGAGAGCTTTGTGCCAATCAGCTGAGCTGGATTTTCCAGCTGGCCTAGGTTCAATATATGTCCATTAGGTAAATAAGCTGTCATTTTAACTGACCTTTTTGAAGCCTATTTCAATATTCCATAAAGCTAGCTAGTTCTGTGTGATACGGAGTAGGGTTGAACCAGTGATTTCCATGGTTATGCACATCTGGTTCCATTTTCTCAAACCGGTAAAATGCACACTCATAGGAAAATTAAGTGTAGTTAGGGTGAGAATGAGGGAGGAAACAAGTGGTCCTAAGAACCGATGATAACTAGTTGGAACAGATACTGCATCCCCTGAAAGGAGGAATGATTGACAGACTCAGGTAAAGCAAATGACAAAAGGAACCCAGTTTTTGAATTAATATAAGGGAATTCAAAAGATTTTCAGAGCATTTTAACACCCACACCTTGATTTCTGCCACCACTTTCCAATAAAAAGAACTAGGACATCTTGGAGAAATAGCAGATTTTAAGACTGTGGCAGAAACTTTACAAGATAAACTGGAACATCTTGTAAGGTAACAATGTAATATAACACACAATGATGGAGTTGTGTGGAAAGGACACAGAACACAACTGAAAGAGCTCCAATGCTCAAAGAAGAAACCACTTGTGCAAGAAAATAAAGTAATACTGGATTACAACCCAAACTATAATAAATGTCCATGAGTCCATAGTAATATAAATAAATAACTAAAATAAACAAATGGGGCAGAATAGACCAATCTCCTGGTCAGAAGAATTTCAAATAATTTATCCAGATAGTTTTGCCTCAAGGAGATGGAGCATATCCCTCCTATGTGGGCTATGCATAATGACTTCCTTCTAAAGAGCAAAGTGTAGAAAGCAGAGAAGAAAAGCAATGTTACAATGGAGAAATCTGACGAGTCTAAGGTGTAATGACCACTAAATGTAGTGAGGCATCTTGGTTGGGATCCTGGAACAGAGAGAGTATTAGGTAAAAACTATAGATACCCAATATACTGAAGACTTTAGTTAATAGTAATGTATATTCATTCATTCATTAATAGCAAAAAAATGCACCATACTAATAAAATAATAGGAGAATCTGGATTGGTATAAGATGGAGAAAGGATCCCAAGCATAAAAATAAAGAAAAATCCTGAAATTCTTTCAAGAAAAATTCCAGGCATCCAGCTAGCCCCAGAAGTGATTAAGTAAATTGTTAAACAAGAAGGTAATAGTAGCTGAAGAACAACAGCCAAGGAAGTTAAAGCTGCAGAGATAGATGTTTGCTTTCACTATAGAAACTGAAGATAACATCTTAACATATGTCCCTTAGTTGCCTTTCAGAGGCTCCCACTTAGGAACCCCACCAAATAGATGGGCCAGCTCTTCAACCCCAGGTAAGCAGGCAATGAAGACTGAACTTTAACCATTGTTCTTCGTTCAAAGTTTCTTCCTGAGGGACTTGGAGCAAGTCACTTCCTCTACCCAGTTAACATTTTTCTGCAAATATTACCCCAAATTTTGTAAACAATCTTCTCTTCCTTCACCAATTGCAAATCAGAAAATTGTTAAATTTATCTCTGACTTGTAACCCCCATTTCAAGGTATCCCACCCTCTTGAGTGTAAATCAATGAGTTACCTCCATGTATTGATTTATGAGTTTGCCTGTAGTTTCTGCTTTCCTGAAATGTATACATACCTTTACAAATCCTTGCCTTCAAGCCATTTTGGAAGTCAGGATTTGAGCATTAGCTGCCTGGTTCTCCTTGCTTGGCACCCTGCTGCGAAAGCCTTTTTTTTTCTATTGCTGAAAACCTTAGTGTAGTTGTCTGATTTTACTGTGCCAAGTGAGCGGACCCCAGTTCAGTCCAGAAACAGGTATTTGACAGGTTTGTGAGAACTCTTTGTGCAATTTCACAATTTTTCCATAAATACAAAACTGTTATTAAAGAGTTTATTAAAATAAATTGATTATTTTTCTTTTCACAAAGCTTTTTACCAGAGAAGATAGAAAAGGGAGAAGAACACTTGAACTTGGAAAAGGCGAACGAATGAAGATCAAAACTATCTTAGCTAGATTTCCTTGACAAAGGAGAGAATGAGGCAAGGACTTACATTGTTACAGGAAAAGGGGCCCCGATTCAGACCCCAAGAGAGGGTTCTTGGATCTCGTGCAAAAAACAATTCAGGGCGAGTCCACAGTGCAAAGCAAAAGCAAGTTCATTAGAAAGTAAAGTGGTGAAAGGACAGTTTCTCCATAGACAGAGTAGGATGTTCCTGAAAGTAAGAGAAGGAATGCGTCTACCCTAGGTACAATGCTGCTGTATATGGGGAGATGTGTTGTGTGATAAAGGATTACTTTTCTTAATTACTATATTTTGCAAGAATCGATATTATTATCTTTAAAGCAAAATTAGGAATGCCTTTGTTCTCCGGATACCAGGATATCTGGACACTCCCAAGTCTGGGCCTGTTTTAGTAAACATTATTAATTTTTTCCTTTAACCATCAACATCTAGAGGCTAGGAACACCTAACTTTCTGGGAATGCAGCCCAGCAAGTCTCAGCCTCATTTTCCTGGCCCTCACTCAAAATGGAGTCGCTCTGGTTCAAACGCATCTGACATATCCCCCCCTCCCTTTACAAGAGGACCCTTAATCCTAAGGGTTGCAGAGGGATGAACATCCATCTTCTGTAACTTCTTCAGGCTGAATAGGGGCAATGATATTCCTGCCTAACTATTAGGGTCTCTTGCATTCAGGGTAGAGCAAAGCTCAGTCAGAGCGTTGGTATGGTGAAGGTCATTCATAACTCCGAGTTCTGACAAAAGGTGATATCTGGAAGATTAATAAGTGTCCAATTTAAGAAAGCATTGAGTGAGCTTGTTTTGCATTCTTACACAAAGAGTATAACCACAATATATTCCACAACAGCAAAGCAAAATAAGTGAAATCCTTCCAAGTAAACTAAACAGGAATGCTTTCCAAACACTGGGCAGTTGTTGGAACCAAGCCTATATACGGTCAACTGATAGTGCATCAATGGCAGAGATGTGAGTGTCTAAAGCTTTCATAGCCTGGGTAAAATTATGTGAATAGTCGGGAACATACACACAACATTCAGTTTTGATCAAAGCACAAGTTCCCCCTTGGGCCACTGTTAAAATGTCCAAGTCATAGGGTTTTGTAAGGCTACCTGCCTAATCTGAAAAGTTTCCTCAGTTAGGAAGGTAAGGGCATGGGATGTATTATTGAAAACCACAGCCATGTCCTTGGCTAAGACTTAAACTCATAACTCAATACTGACTGCAGCTGCCAGTAGGGAAAATATAGCAATCAGACAGAACCACCAAGATCCTCCCTTTTGTCGCTTATGGCAAGCTTTTACAATTTCACAGTTAAACGGGATAGAGTCCAATAAGGTGAGGATACAACCCAGCAGACAAGGACAACCTCATATACGCCTTCCAGTACAGTTATAAGGTAAGTACGACCAGCCAGGAGTTCCACAAGCCCATAACCATTCCCAAGGAGAAGGGTAGGCATTCATTTTTGGCAAATTTTCTTGCCACCTCATCCACATCTGGTCTGTTAGAAGAAGGTCTGATTACATTGTTGAAATTACAGCCATCTCATATCATGGGCTTCTGTCTGGTGGTGACTATTATTGTGCCTTTCAAAACACAGAGGCGCTTTGCCTGATACCTGCATTTGAACAGCTGTCATTCACCCAAGTTCATTACATATAGCATAACCTAAAGTTGGGGTGGAGTTTAGCTGTTTTCTAATTAGATTAAAAAGGTGCCTTCTTGTCTCTTCATAGGAAGGAAACGGGCTAAGGTGGCTATGATATATGGGAAAAGAGGGGCTATGTTTATAATGTTCAGTTTCCCAATCATAATAAAATCCCCACAACCTTAGTTTGGCTTGTTGAATATGCCAGGGCAACCCGGAAGTGGAGGAAAGTAGCAATTCTCCACATACCCAACAGTTTGTCTGATTATGAAGCAAGGCTAAAGTCTATGCCCATTCAGTAAATAAGTTACTTTCTGCATGATTTCAGCTTATACCTAAAAGTAAAATGTCAATCCATATCTTTATGTTATGCATCCCTTTTATTTCTTCTGAACAGGAGTCGGAGGTCACTGATTGGCTCACAGGAATAAATGGGATCATTCTCTGGTGTTCCATCGGTCTGTGGGACTTCATAAGAGATAGGTTTAATTTGAGATAAGTGGACCCAGCTATTTATTCCCAGAAGTTTAAGTGCAGTTGGGGTACTAAGGAGAACTTGATAAGGTCCCTTCCATATTAGGGAAAGTTAATCTTCTGGGGATCTTTCCTTCCAAGTTTTTAATAGGACCCAGTCTCCCAGATGTGTTGTAACAAGATTCTCTTCCTTAGTGGGGGAAGAGAGTTTTTGATTTCCATATTCAAGGAGTCTATTTTGCACTTGTCCTAAGTTGATCACATAATTCTGTAGCTTGAAAGTAACTATGTCTATTAGGAGGTCTGTAGTTAAGAAAGGCCTTCCACACATAATTTCAAAAGGGCTGAGCTGCAGATTTCCTTTAGGGGCCACTCGAACCCATAATAAGGCCACAGGTAATAAAGACAGTCAGGTTTCTGATGTCTCTTGGCATAGTTTGGCAAGAGTCTTTTTTAGAGTTTGATTAGCTCTTTCTGCTAATCACTACTTCAGGAGGCCTGAAGACTGTGGCCTCCATGCTGAGTAAAGGCAGTACTGAATTCTTAGGGCTGAAGATGTGTTTTGGATAATTGTCGCTGTGAAAGATGGGCCATTATCGATCTGTAAGCTTTTAGGCAGCCCAAATCTAGGAAGCATTTCCTTTAATAAGAGTTTAGAAACCTCAATTGTCTTTTCAGACCGGGTAGGAAAAGCTTCAATCCAACCGGCAAAGGAGTCAACAAATACTAACAAATATTTAAGTCCTTTACATGGGGCCATCTGAGTATAGTCTACTTGCCAATCTCCACCAGGGTAAGTTCCCCTAAGCTGAACAGGCCTTACGAGAGGAGGAGGTAAAGATTGGTTATTTGGGTTATTCCGGGCAGATAGTTCACAGGCACGAGTTATCTGCTTCACTGTTTTAAGTAAGCTTTTTCCTATAAAAAGCTGGGACATTAATTGAAACAGGGACTCTCTTCCCAAATGGGTAGAGTCATGCAAATGCTGAACTATTTTCCACTGATTAGCACCTTGTATTAACAGTTTGTTGCCCTGTTTCCCTGGTGCACAAAGCTACTTCCATCTGTAAACCAGGATTATCTAGAGGCTCATCATTTAAATCTGGATGGCTGGAGTAAACTTGCTCCATAACTTGTATACAAGAATGATCTAGGGTGCCTGTGGGTTCAGGCAAATAGGTAGCTGGATTCAAAGTCTGGCGTAGTTTAAGAATTATATCAGGAGCATCTAGCAACAAAGCCTGATATTTATTCACAGGAAAGGAGGAGGAGCAATTTCTCATCTACCTTGTGATTTCCAAAAGATACTACTGTATGCAGCTAAGTTAACAAATCGCTTCCCAACAAGGGGGTGGGGCATTCAGGAAAAAACCAAAGCCCCTGAAGAGCACCTTAAAGGATAGGTAAAATGGCACATATGCGCTTGTCCATCTATCCCCTTGACCATACAGTTTTGGGGTGAATAGACCCATTATAATGGGTCAAAACACAGTAAGCATTCCAGAAGGAAGTTAATATTCTTACCTGCCATGTCAAGGGTTACCCATGTCTCCTTGAGAGATATGGCTAGTTGTCTCACAGGAGCTGTGGTGGAAGGTCTCGGGCCCCGTCACTCTTGGGTTTGCCTGGCTATTTCAGCCATCATTGGTTTGGGTGCCGATGGCTCCCTTCAAAATGCTGGGCAATCCCTCTTCCAATGGCCAGTTTTCCTACAGTGTGCACACTGATTAATGCCCAAGGCATGGTGACTCAAACACTCAACTTTGGGCTTCCCACCTTTCAGCTTCCCTTGCTCAGGCCAAGGGCCAGGAGGGCAGCCCCATGTGGGAGGTGAGCTTAAGGCTGCAGCCAAGAGCTGCACCTTGTGGGAGGTCCTTCTTGCTCTTTCTGCTTCCTCTGTTTTGTCCTTGTTATTAAAAACTAAAAATGCCACATCCAAAAGCTGCTCCATAGGAGTTTGGGGACCCATAGCTGCTGTTTGTAGTTTCCTACAGATATCAGGAGCAGACTGGATTATAAAATGTACTCCCAAAAGGATTTGTCCTTCCCTTGAGGCAGGAAAACTGTTAGTATATTTCCTCATTACCTCAAGGAAATGTTATTGAAACAAAACTGGATTCTCATTTGTACCCTGAGAAACTTCCTTAACCTTTTCAAAATTAACAGGCTTTTGCATACATTTCTTCAACCCTTCCAACAAACAAGTGACCCTATGATCTCTCCTCCCCAAGTCCTCACTGCTCCTTTGATAGTTCCACTCTGGGTCTTGATCTGGAACTGCTGTACCTCCTGCCTGATATATATTATGGTTCGGGTTATGAGCCAATACCTCCTCTGCATGGGTCCTATCTGTCCCCAAAATGCATTGTTTCTCTTCCACTGTACAACACAGATACAACAAAACATGCAGATACTGCCAAGTTAAACTATAGGTTGGAATTAATTTCTCAAACTCATCTGTGAATTTTCCTGGATCTTCAGAGAAACCACCAAGCTTTTCTTTACATAGAGTCAAATTGGACATAGAACAGGGAACATGTACTCTTCACAGTGCCTTCTTCCCCATTTGCTGCCTCTTTAAGTGTACAAAGGTTTTTCTTTGGAGGTTGATAGGAGGCTCCACTAAGAGTAGTACTCGCTGGCTAAGTTCCCCAGGGAGTGGTGGGTATAGAGTGGGACTAGATGGGTAAAGCAGGAGGGGATGAAGGGTTCTCAATAGAACTTTCAGGTTAACTACAGGGAGAAAGGACTGACACATCTGAAACTTCAGAGCTGACAGAGGAGGTTTTGCTCCACCCAAAACTGCCCACTGAATTGGGGAAGGGGGCTTGCATTAAAGGATCATCTAGTATGTCTAGCTCTTTTTATTCTTTTCCATTTATCAAACATGCACACACCTGCTGCAGGGTTTTATCCTGAATGAGCAGGAAAAATGCTTGGACATATGGTATTTCATCCCATTTTCCCTCCTGCTTACAAAACAAATCAAGTTAAAGTATAGTATTAAAGGACATTTAATGGTAGGAGGCCATTTCTCTTGTTTTTCCAAATAATACCAAGGCCAAACAGTATTACACAGAAACACCAGTTTTTTCTTAAGCCCATTCCATTTAAACTGGTCCCAGTGTTGAAGAATACATCCTAGTGGCGAGTTCTTTGGAATCGTTGCTGTCGTTCCCATGAAGGAGTCAGGTGACGTTGAAAGAAAAGTTCCAAACCTCTGAGATTGGGCTGCCAATGGCCAAGTAAAGGATGATAGAGGTTTTTAGACTGGCTGCATTAATGAGGGGATCCCTGCTGAAAATTGGATTCTCTTATACACATTATCCAAATAGTATAAGTGAGCCAAGCCATGAGTCTTAGATAAACCACAACATGTATTTCAACAAAAATATCAAATAAGGCAAAGAAAATAAAGAGGAGATTTAGATGGGAATGACGAAGCAGGTTCTGGGAAATAGTGGCAGTAAGGATTGGACAAGAAAAGCTGGTTTGCCCAAATTCAAGAAAAAACTGTTTGTTTGTTTTTTTTGGTTTTTTTTTTTTTTTGGTTGTGTGTGTGTGCAAAATGAAACAAAACAGCAAGAAGAAAAGTCCCCTGATTTCTATCCTAGTGCTTCTCCATCACACCTAGTCAGCATAGCAGCAACAAAACATAACCACATCTAATCTTATTGCTCATAGCTACTAAATACCAAATCTCAATCAGCAATTTTAGAGACAGAGTCTTCAATGCTTTTTGTTCCCAATGTTTCACAAGCAAACAGATGGAAATTGGGAGGCACACGGAAGAATAAGTTAAAATCTTTAAGTCCAGTTAAATGAAATCTCCTGAAAATGGCAGTGAAACAGAGACAGCAAACCAAGAAATTGATTCATGCTGCAAGGAGGACAAGGCAGGTTAATACCTGTCCTCATGAGAGTTCATGAAGGAGATTTGCAGGCATGCTTTTTTTTTTTTTTTTTTTTTTTTGAGACAGTCTCGCTCTGTCACCCAGGCTGGAGTGCGGTGGCGCGATCTCCGCTCACTGCAAGCTCTGCCTCCTGGGCTCCTGGGTTCACGCCATTCTCCTGCCTCCGCCTCCCGAGTAGCTGAGACTACAAGCACCCACCACCACGCCCAGCTAATTTTTTGTATTTTTAGTAGAGACGGGGTTTCACCGTGTTAGCCAGGATGGTTTCCATCTCCTGACCTCGTGATCTGCCCGCCTCGGCCTCCCAAAGTGCTGGGATTATAGGCGTGAGCCACCGCGCCCAGCTGGCATGCTCAATTTATGACAAAGACACAAGGCATTATAGGTCATTCTAGGTGAGAAGGAAATGAAGAGAAGGGAAGTAGAAACTGATTCAAGATTCACTCAAAAGGGCAGATCCAATTCAATGAAAGGCTCACTCCAGAGATGTGAGTAGGTTGGCCGAGCACCTTTTCATGGGGACACTATTTTCTACCAGAGGTTTGGAAGCCATTGCTATAGTGAGCAGAACAGAGTGCCAAAAGACCCAAGCAGTTCTTTGCAGGTAGTTCATCATGTGCTAGCTAACATGCACAAAAGTGGCAGGAAGAAACGTCAAGGGGCAAAAACTCTAATCCTTGACAGGCCTCCCAGTTGAGGTGCTGTCCTGAAATAAGCCAGCACACTAGGAAAGAGTCTGGCAGAAATCTAGAGCAGCAGCTGAGATAAAACTTGCAGTGATCACCAATTTTTCCAGTTCTATTCCTTCTGGATACACACCAGCATTCTATTACCCCATCAGACTTCAAGTCATGCTGGCCATGTGTCTTGCTGTGGCCAATAAAAGCAACGTGAAGAAAAGAGACAGACACAGGACTTCACGGAATAAGTCTACAAATACTAGTGCATCATTCAATATATTTTTTTTCTTCCTCTGACCCAGTGACTGATGACATTTCAGATGGCACAGGCGTCTATGGTATTCATATCTGAGTAAGATACGGAGCAGAGCTCCCAGCAACCTGAAATGGGTTCTCCAGGAGAACAATAAACAGATATATATTTTACTAAACTGCTGAGATTTGGGGGCAGTTTTTTACTTAAACATAACCTAGTCCATCCTAAGAGATAGAGAAAAGCAGGATATAAGCTCAACCAACCCAAAAAGTGGGAGCACAGTGAATTAGAGTGAGCCCTGTGTCCCAGGACTTAGAAACACCAGGTGGCTCATTTTCTTGGCAGCAAAACATCTCCAAGGGAAAGATGAGAAGCCAGCAATCATAACTGGGCTCCCGGAGCCCAAGCCTTATTCTATGCTCCTGTGCATGTGTCCAGCAGGGGCATATGAGAAAGGTACCAAGGTTGCCACTACACTCTCCATCTCTGACCAACCTGGCGATATGGTTAGCCTTTGTGTCCCCACCCAAATCTCATCTTGAATTGTAATCTCATAATCCCTATGTGTCTAGAGAGAGGCCTACTGGGAGGTGAGTGGATCATGGGGGTGGTTTCCCCTGTGCTGTTCTTCTGATAGTGAGTGAGTTTTCATTCATGAGATCTTATGGTTTTATAAGGGGCTTCCCCCTTTGCTCAGCACTCATTCTGCCCTGCTGCCCTGTGAAAAAGGTGTCTGCTTTCCCTTTGCCTTCCACCATGATTGTAAGTTTCCTGAGGCCTCCCCAGCCATGTGGAACTGTGAGTCAATAAAACCTCTTTCCTTTATTAATTACCCAGTCTATGACAGTTCTTTATAGCAGTGTGAGAATGGACTAATACACCTAGCCATGAAACTAGGTTAGTATTTTAATCCACAGATGGGGACAAATCACCAGCTTACCCATGAGGACCTGGAAAAAGCAAGTTCAGAAAATAAGAAAAATTAGGTGGTGGTTGACATTTTTCCTCCACTGAATTTGGTCACCAGTCTGTTCTTGAGATCTTTTCTCTCTTTGAAGTTTGCCTTCTCTCTCTTTGGTTCCAATTTCCCATCTAAAGTGAATCTCATGAATGCCTGTGTGCTGCTGTCATCCTCAGGCCAACACCTTCCAATGACCAGAGGAAAACTGGATAAACTCTAGTTTCAAAGCAGCCCGTCTTTTTAATGTGCCCACCAAGTTTCTCCTCCCTGTGTAAGGATAACCTTCATGGAGCAGAGATAACTGATCATCAGTGATCCCAACAATAAATCGAGGTGCTCATTCCACTCTGGTTACCACCCACTTCTCAATCTCTGTGTGAAAACCCACCACTCACAGGCATCTCTCTCCTTCCTTCTGTCCGCTGCTTCACTTCACCCTCACACTTCTCTACTTTTTCAATATTAGAATTATGTACATAATAAAACAAGCCATTTTCAAAAAAAGGAAAAGAAGGTCATTCATTCTTTCACAGGCCCAAGAGAGGGAGCTGGGGAAAATAGCCCCAAAGCATTTTACCTTGGATTGGTTCTCCTAGAGTCCTTTAGGTTTTCCTGTTACATACTAAGGACCTCTTCAAAATGGCAGTCTCCATCCTCCAAGAGTCACAAACATAATAGGTTTCTCATATTGCCTGATTTTTCTAAGCTTCCCAGTTCCAATAACCTCCGTCTTCTCTTGCATCTGGAACCTTTTGACTTTACCTACTGATCATGTGACCTCTTCCATTGCCCATCCTCAGCCCATCAGAGTCCTCATCTCTCAAGAGCAGTGAGGACCACTTTGGGTGACTCTTTCAGGCTTAACTTTGAAAGTTCACTTTTCTAGTAGGTTTTGTAATCACGACTCCAAAAAGACAAGCTGTTCTTTACATTTCAGTTTCTACAACATAAAAGCCAAAGACTTTCCGAGTTTGAGGTACGTCAGTCAGGGGTCACTTAGAAGCCCAACTTAACAAGATTGCTTTCCTCACTGTGTGAGCTATTTAATTCCTTTTAGCTCTGTTCTGCTGCTGACTGATTGGCAGAATTGTTTCAAGGTGACTTCCAAGGGACTGTATGTACCCACGTGCAGCATGTTTGCTGGAAATGACAAGCGATAAGAACTATGGTTTAGGTCATTATTTTTACCCGAGTAAATAAGAAAATAAACATACCTATCTGTACTTTTTATTTTAATTTGGCTTCATATGTTTTATACAGCCCATATTACTATTATTTACTGTGGTTTTCTTTTGACTATTTCTCTCTAGCTGTACCTAAGTGCTGGAGTTTTCCAAAGTATATCCCTGTTCTGCTTCTTTTCTCCCTTGACATATCCATCCTGTAAGCTTCTGCACTTATGTCTGGCCACTTATAAAATATGAACAGATTCATGTGTATCTGTTGCTTTCATGCAAACAGATTAAAGAACTGGTACATAATTATCCATGCTGTCTCTTTCAGACTCACTACATGGAAGGAAATTTTGAAATGGTGGCTTGGTAGCAACCTTTCTCTACGTGGGTAACTTAGTGCCTGTGATGCACTAATCTCCCTGCCAAATTGACTTAAAAAGAAATAAATATTAGCGTTTTAAGGCTCTGTGATTCGCAGCTTGCTTGTTAGAACATAGTAACCTACCCTACCATGACTGGTTAGTGGGATCCACCTACCTATGCAATCGAATATCACTAATGCTTTCCTTTCCTTGACTTTCTATACCCAGGTGGTAAATAAATCCTGATAGTTCAAACTTCCTAAAGTTCCTTTGACTACTGAAGTATTTTTTAAATCTGGTTTGTTTATTCATTTTTATTTAATTTCTAGAAAATCCTTATGAAGTATTTTTTATATAGTCACCTATTTTAAATAATAAGTCTTTAAGAATATCGGCATTATTTTATTTATAGGACATGGCAATCTTAGAAATTGAAGCATGTAAAAGCATATCCAAAACATAAGAAACTTCATCATAGAAGGAGAGTAACTCTTCCCAAACCACTACTTTATGAGATAGATATGCCCATCCCTAGTATATGCTTCCGTCAAGAGAGATTGCAGATAGAAAGGAAAATCAGGACAAGAGGATGACAGGACAGAAAATTACCTGCTTTCCGAAGCCTTTCAGTCTCTAGAATTTATGACAATCTTACTTTCTAGAGTGAGCCCAAACACTAAACCTAACCAGAAGCTAACTCACCCTATTTTTCTCCACACTCTTTCCCCTCTATAGTTAACCACTCCCTGTGAAAGCAACAAGCCAATATTATTATCCCTAATTAAAAAAAATAAATGTAAATAAGGCAGAATGACCATTTAACTAGATCAATTCTGCACATTTGTAGCCCAGAAAGGTTGCTTCCCAGGGATTCTGGTTAGTAGCTAATTTCTCCTTGCACATGGACTGCCTCCTGCTGTCTGTCTGCCATTCTTTTTGGTGTGGACCTATAAGTTTAGAGAAAAGTGCTGCCTAAAAATAATATTACTAAGCATTATTTTTATTAGTTCTCTTTTTATTCCTATGAGAGTATCTCTAGGGAACCCCATGTTATATTTGGAAGACAGTAACATGGATATGCAAAATGGAATGAGTGGTGGCTGTATTTTCTCTTCAGCTACTAAGCACCCAGGAGTCTTACCTGGAGCAGTATTTAAACTCACATATTTAAATCTAAAGAATAATTTTTAATGGCTGGTGCCCTACAGGATTTACTGACTATTATTCCCACCTTAGACATAAATAACCAAGTGACAGGCAAGAGAAGAAAATTAGTTGCTGGTACAGTCTCCATAAAAAGCTATAGAAATTGCTGAGATTATATTTTCCTAAAGTAAAAATTAATAATAGTAAATTAATATTAATCATCAGTTGATTATTGTTTTAAGGCAAATTCTTCCAAGATCAAAATGCATTTAGGCACCTCAGATTGCTTTTTCTTCTCTATAAATTCATTTTTGAATACTTATTTAACCATTTTAAACAATTTGAAAAATTGCTAGCTATTAGGATTCTATAATTTTTTTCAGAATGAGTATTTTTAAAGTTGTAGATTTAAAAACATAGAAGGAAAATGCTGACATTTTCTTTAAGCAAAAAGTTTTTTTTCTCCTCTCTAGCTCCCGATTCCTCAACACCTCCCCACCTTCCCAACTCTCCACCCCTCAGGAATCTGCATTCCTGTATATGAGGGTGTGATTGAGGAAGGTCAGAATTTAAAAGATTAAGAGAAAACCCACCTGAAAAAAATCCTTGAGAAAGTCTTCCTCAAATATGCCTACTTCCTCTGTGACATGCAGAACTAACTGGAGGTCTCCTGAAGAAAGCTGATAGAGTTCTCAGGTAGTCATGGAATAGGTGGGCTCTGGCCAGGGAATCACAGCCATAAATGCTGCCAGCAACAAGTTGAGCTTTGGAACTCATTATCTGAGTGGAATGGAAAACCAAATATCTTATGTTCTCACTTATAAATGAGAGCTAAGCTATGAGGATACAAAGGCATACGAATGATATAATGGACTTCTGGGACTTGAGGAGGGGGAAGACTGGGAGCAGGGTAAGAGATAAATAAACTGTATATGGGGTACAGTGTACACTGCTCAGGTGACAGGTGAAATAAAATCCCAGAAATCACCACTAAAGAATTTATCCATGTAACAAAAAAACACCTATACCCCCAAAATTAAAATGAAAAATTTTTAAAAATTCACTGAGTGATGAACTAAGGATAAGCTTGCATTCTCACTAGAAGTAAACTAAAACCTGTACCCTGTACCCTACTATATCTCCCTCTAGTCCATTTTGTCTTTGAACACTTGGAAAGTGATTGCAGCTGCTTGAGGCTGTAGCTTCCACACATTCCAGGAAGCACTGCACTCACATCCACCCCTGCTACCCTGTATAAGGAGTCCCCATACCACCTCTAAAGTCTTCCTTTTTGAACATACAAGTGACATTTTATGTGCAGTGTTGGTCCTAGTTGTTCGCTACTTTGGGTGTCATTTTCTATCATGGTGTTATTTCAGTCATGGTTGCTTTCTCTTGTATGTGCTTGGATGAACACTAAGTAGAAATTTCTAGAAAACAGAGGATAGAGCTATTTGGAAAATCTGGTAACAAGAAATTCAGAATTAATCATGAAGAGAATGGAGCAGAGCTAAGAGATGCCATCAAGAGAAGAGTGACTGTCCAGAAATCTGGGAATCCCCATGGGAAAACATCCGAGTGCTTAGCATGGTCCTCCCGCAACACAATGCAACCCCAGGCTTCCTCCTCACCCTCCCTTTGTCATGCCACCTCTCTTATTTACTAGACTTAGGTCACATTTTCTTTCTCTGTTTTTCAAATATGCCTATTCTTTGTTGGGATATCTGCACATGTCTCTGTGCTTAAAATACTCTTGCCCCCACAGTAATATTCTCTTGTTTCTACCTATCCTTCAGGTCCCAGATTAAGAGCCACTCCATGTGGGAGGCCTTCCATGACCCTCCAATCTAAACAAGATTCCCTGACTTTTATGCTCTCATAGGCCTCTGCAGATCTTTACACTTAACTACAGTTTATAATGATATGCGTGTCCTTCATCCACAGACACGCAGTAGTACATGTAATTTCTACCTCTTCATTATGCTATCAGCTTCAAGAGGTGTGGGGCATTTGTTAGTTTTGCTAAACAAATAGAGCTCTGTAAAAGCACAGTGCTTGGTACTTACTAGGATGAGTCATGGTTGTTGAATGAAGAATAAACACTTGAGCAAGCAAGTAACAAACTAGTAAAGCAACAGAGGAGATTATATTGGCAAGAAAGAGTTAGTAGGCAAAGACTATTTTAGACGAAAGCTGTAACAATAATCCTAGTTATGTGCTTATCTTTTTGTACTTCCCAATAAATTTAACCTCCTTCGTTTCATTAGGGACCCAGAAAGAGAAGCATAGTGAATGGGTACATGAAAGGCAACTGGCAGCTTCTGACCTACTCTGGAGATCCTTTTCTTGTGTGTTAAGTGGTGATTTTTAGTAACAAAACCTTGCATTTTTGTCACATCTTAGGCTTTCCAACAAGCTTTTCTATGACCTTTTTGACATGCTCACACCTGAGATATTTCCTATTCTGGTTCCAGCTGGATTTTCAATGTTTCTATAATAGGTTTTGCAGAGTTTTCCAATGTTAATATCTCTTAGGAATTTAAAACTTGTCTGTATATTAGTTGGGTCCACTCCAATTTGGTCATTTCTGTTCTATTGATACTCATTTTTTTTAAACATAGAAACTATAAAAACAAATGATTTAATTAGAAGTAAAAGGTAGGGTGTGTGCCTTATTACATTAACATGAAACATAGATTTCTTTCTGCTATATCCTCACCTTCCCCAGGAACTGCTAAATCTCAGTCTTGGTTATGGTCTTATGTGGCATCAATCTATACTAAGATCCTATAATTACCCTTACCTAATTTTCTAATACAGTCCTAATATTTTCTAGAGCCCTCTCCAAAAGGTCAGTACAGACTATCACTGCATTTGTTTAAGTCCACTTAGTAATATTTAAGACTTTCCACTTTCACTGCAGCCGCAATTGCTGCTACATCACTCTTTCCCTTTTCATCCATCTCTGTCTCTTTAAATTTGTGCATCCATGCATTGTATTACATTGTTGCAGGGAAGAGCAGTGTTTTTGTCCAATCTGAAAAACCACCACACTAATCCACACTAATTTTTATCTGATGTACTGTGCACATTTGGCTCCCGGCGTTATTCTGTGCTGAGCTCAGTATTCTGCGCACTACAGTAACTGCTGTGGTTCCTTTGCAGTCTTCATAGCAGCCCTCAGGTACAGATGATTCTTTTCAATCTTGTTGGCCACCATGACTACATGGCAAGGAGGTACAGTTGTGCTGTCTGTTATGGCTTCACACTGTCACTGTCTCTGGCTTTACAAGACTCCTGGGTTTCAACGGTCACTCCAGTTTGGTTAATCCTTGGGTCCCAAGGATTTTCATAATCTCATTTAAGGTAGGAAGGAACAACTTATAGGAAAGGTACATTGGGAAAACTACTATTTTCTAAAGAAAAAAACATACGCCTCTTTTTTGTATGTTGTTTTTATACCTTTTGTCAACATGTAAGAACCCTGAATCATGCTGAAATTGCTATTTTCATAACAGAAGTCCTTAACTATTTTTTCTTTTGATTTTAACTCTTTTCTGAAGTGATCTCTACTTATATTTTCAACTAAATTAACATATTTGATATTTATGTCCATTCTATGTATCAAACAGGGCTGGTACTACTATTTTCTTTTTCAGATAATAATACTGAACTCAGGATACTTATTTATTAGAGTTGGGGTCTCGCTCTGTTACCCAGGGTGCAGCACAGTGGCATGATCGTGGCTCACGCAGCCTCAAACTCCTGGGCTCAAGCAATCCTCTCACCTCAGCCTCCCAAGTAGCTGGCACTACAAGCATGAGCCACCATGCCCAGCTGAACTCAAGATATTTAATTTACCAATGGTTACACAGCTTGTTCAAGACAACTAAGAAAATGCAACTCAGTCCTGATTCTAAGCTCAGTGTTCTTTTGGCAACATTATGTAATCACTGTGCTAGAAATAAAATTACTCCCTTTATCAATGCCATTCTGTGCTTTTCCTCATGCACCCAGGCATTTCTTAGGCTTTAGGGACATGCATGGATATGCATGAAGGGAAGAAATTATGAGGAGCAAATAATGAAATATTGATTAAAAGGTAAAAGAATAGAATAGAAGGATAGTGGTCTAGAAACTTTAGCATGAATTAGAATTGGGAAAATAAACTTAGAGCTTTCAAAAGAAAAATAAAGCATGTAATTGTGTTTTCTCTCATATATTTCCAGTATACACACTTATTTCAATGGTATAAGCATTTTGCAGGCAGAGGCTTCTTGACATCTTGAAAACTGATGACACTAGAATGTACTGATGAGCCAATAATTGTGTGTGGCATTTCTGAACGCTAGTCCTAACTCTGTCACTAGATACATGTCTTCCCATTCTAAGATATTCTATTTTTAACACATTTTCCAAGAAGGAGAAATAATTTTTTTTCTCCAAAGGAAATGTAGACATTAACAAAATGTTTTGAACAAAACTGGAAAGTCTTTAACATCATTGCTATAGCAATGGAGTACTCCTAAGCCCAGTAACCAAGAAACCATGAAATTATTCAACCTAACTTATGTTCATCTCGAGAGAACTTATCACACACAAAGCCTGTGTGCCCTTGAAGAGCTTTTCTGTTGAAGTGGGTTGTACCGATTATATACTGTTCTCTTTCAAAGAAATTTCTCAGTAAGGAAAAGATAATGACAATTGTGAGGGGTTTCTGTTTGTTTATTTCACTGTTTTTGAGTTATAAAAATGGTAGCTGTCACTGAAAATGTGTGGGAGGTATAAATGGGGGGAAGTAGATTTAATAAATAAATGGCTAACAGAAGGCTGTTAGAAACTGTAGCCATCTTAGTTAAAATATTTCTCAAGAGCACTCAAGAGAAGGACCAATCAAGTATTACCAAAGGTCAAAGATAGCCATCATCTTTCTTCTCACAGTACACTTAAAAATAAGCTTGACAGTGCACCACAAAAGTGAGTAAACAGGGATTTACAGATAGAAATGACTCCGTTAGTTTTTCTGATTCATCAAATGAGATCCTAGTCTAACAAATGATTCTGGTGAGGATGATCAGAACCTAGCTGGAGGAAACTGCCCTAGTCATATAGCTTCTTCAGATGACTTTTACTTTTTATTTTCTATTGTCAGGTGTTGGCTGCAGGTTTGATGGTGCTGTAAGAAACCTGCTGACCTAGTGTATGACTCTTAAGCAAAATCAGGATCATTTGGGATTTATTAATGCTGATTTCACTTTGGGCAGGAGAGCCAGGAAGAGTTGTCAACTCATGTTTGTGTCTGTCCCATGACTGAGTAAATGTATGTTATTCTCTACTTACAGAAAATGTCACTTGGCCTGCTCTTGTGTTGCTAAAATGGGATAAGGATTAATGGTGCAGACAGTTCTGTCAACCGTACTTTAAGCTGTCTAAATGGTTTCTACAAATTCCCACCTATAATGGACAAGGTCAAAAGCATCGAGGAGGTGTCACCTCATTAAGACTGAAATGCATCTGGCTCCAAGCCCCATGCAACTAACCCTGATACTAAAATTAGTCATATATATACTTGAGTACTCCATCTTCCTATATCACTTTTGGTCCCATTAAGCACAGAGGACAGTTAATAAAGGAAGAAAAATTATTCCAGCTAAATTAATTGAGCTCTAGTACAAAGGAGGGTGAGCATTGCCTTTCAGTCTATTTCTAAAAGAACAATGGGGCTTTTATTGACCATAATGCTGAGTGCCTGCACTCTTATTTAATTCTCTCTTAGGCTTCAGGTATAAGATTCCCCCAGCGGAGGGAGCTCAGAAGTGTGTTTCTGCCTTAGTTCCTTCAGGAGAAAAGTGTGCTGCATACATCTAAGCAAAAGAAAACAAACACACATACAACTCAAGCACATGAGAAAAAAAAACAAGATAACTCATGGTTCATCATATGCTATCAGCGAACTTGCATAGTGCCTTTTTCTGTAGCCATCTGGGGGCAGGAAATTTAATATGTTCATGACCCCCCCCCCCCCACAAAATACACAATACCTTCTAAGCATATTATCATCAGAAGAACAAGTTTATCTTCATGCTTACTTATGAAAAGAATAAACCAAGTTTAAGATTGGGAGAGACATGGAGATCATTTAGTTCAATACCATCTCTCAAAAAATTTTAAGTCAGTGAGGTTTGAAGACTTACCCAGTGATCTGCTAGTTCATGAAAAAGCACTGATCAGGCCGGGCGGGGTGGCTCACGCCTGTAATCTCAGCATTTTGGGAGGCCAAGGTGGGTGGATCATGAGGTCAGGGGATGGAGACCATCCTGGCTAACACGGTGAAACCCCGTCTCTACTAAAAATACAAAAAATTAGCCGGGTGTGGTGGTGGGCGCCTGTAGTCCCAGCTACTCGGGAGGCTGAGGCAGAATGGCATGAACCCAGGAGGCGGAGCTTGCAGTGAGCCGAGATGACGCCACTGCACTCCAGCCTGCGTGACAGAGTGCGACTCCGTCCCCCACCAAAAAAAAAAAAAAAACAGCAGCACTGGTCAAACCCTAGGTCTCCTAGAAGCTGTGACACTGCAATTTCTGCTATTTTCACTGAACTGCACTACTTCTGGCCATACTAGAAAGAGTTCCCTAACATTTTCCTTGAATGTAAAAAAATAATGCATTTTCTATGGCCAAGTTTTCACACTTCAGCAGGCCTAAAAATCACCTGAGGTCTGCAATAAAAATTCAGACTCTTGAGAGATATACCCCCAACCCACCCTCAGATATTCTGATTTAAGAGGATGACGCCAAAAAAAAAAAAAAAAAAAAACTACTTTAAAAATCTACTTTAACAGGCCCTCAGATGATTTTAATGCAGGTAGACCATGAAACCCACTTTGAGAAATACAGTTCTACATGACTGATTATAACAATGATGAATAGGTTGAGAAACAATAAGATTCTTTTTCTATTTTATGAAATGCAATTAAATAACCTCCCTGTCTTTATCTCACGCCCTGAGTAAAAGTAATTTTTATCTTCTCAACAAAACCTATAATTAGAAAGATTTCGAAGGACTTCTTGTCTTATCCTCTCTGCTTCCTTTCAAATTCTATGCCATTGACTCTATTTTTTTCAGTCACATTCTGATGCTAAAATGAGATTTAGGGATGATCAAAATACAAATATACCTGAAGCCATAATTTCACTTTATCACTCTATTTTCCTTAAGTTAGTTCAACCTTGCATACAAACAAAATAAGTTCAATTATCTGTGGCAGATTCTGTGAGGATACTTAGAGCAGGAGTTCCCAACCCCCAGGTACCCATCTGTGGCCTGTTAGGAACTGGGCCACGCAGCAGGAGGTGAGTGGCAGGTAAGGAAGTGAATTTTCCTCTGTAGTTGCTGCCACTCCCCATCGCTTGCATTACCACCTGAGCTCTACCTCCTGTCAGATCAGCAGTGGCATTAGAATCTCATAGAGCATAAACCCTACTGTGAACCACACACGCAAGGGATCTAGGTTGCACACTCACTATGAGAATCTAATGCCTGATGATCTGTCACTGTCTCTTATCACCCCCAGATGGGAACAATCTAGTTGCAGGAAAACAAGCTCAGGGCTCACACTGATTCTACATTATGGTAAGTTGTATAATTATTTCATTATATAAAACAATGTAATAATAATAGAAATAAAGTACACAATAAATGTAATGTGCTTGAATCATCCCAAAACAATCTCCTGCCCCCAGTCTGTGGAAAAACTGTCTTTCATGAAACCGGTCCTTGGTGCCAAAAAGTTTGAAGACTGCTTACTTAGAGACACTAAAAGTAGTCCTTTACGTAGCTTCAAGAAGTAGGGGAGGTAAAGCACCAGCATCTCTTAGGACATTTACCATTCTTATTGTTGTGATAGAGCAATTGCAGTACAAAGACATGAAAATTCAGAGTGGGAAGAATACTTTTAGCTCAGGGAAACAATGCAAAGCATGTAACAGCCATAGAATCTGAGCTGAGAATTGAAGAACAAGTCAGGAAGGGTAAAGGGGAAGAAGTAATTATTGAATGTGTACAAAGTGCCAAGTATTTTGACATGACAGAAAAAGAGAAAGAACGATGCAGTATTATTCCTCTGGGAAGAAAGAATAGATCTCCATTTAGTGATGCTCTGTCACTGATGAACAATTTAGATACTGTGAAAATAGTCTGTGCGTGGCCAGGATAAGCTAGGAATGGGCTCCTAGGGAGAAAAAAAACACAGTTTTTACCTTTTTGAAAAATGTATTTGATATGGTTTGGCGTTGTGTCTCCACCCAAATCTCATTTCACACTGTAATCCCCACATGTCAGGGGAGGGTCCTGGTGGAAGGTTATTGGATCACACAGGCAGTTTCCAACAGTTTTGCAACATAACTGTAGTGCTGTCTCATGATAGAGTTCTCATGAGATCTGGTTGTTTAAAAGTTTTGGCACCTTCCCCTTTGCTCTCGCTCTCTCCTGCCACTATGTGAAAAAGGGGGCTTGCTTCCCCTTCGCCTTCCACCATGACTGTAAGTTTCCTGAGGTCTTCTCAGCCATGTGGAACTGTGAGTCAATTAAACCTCTTTTCTTCATAAATTACCCAGTCTCAGGTAGTTCTTTAAAGAGTATGAGAACAGACTAATATAGTATTCTTTAACAAAACCAGAGAAAGTTGATCTGCATAATGAAGTTTTTGTTTTTTTGTTTTTAATTTTCTCCAGGTAAGAACAGAAAAAAGTGGGGGCAGCAGAACAAAGTGTTAGGCAGATCTGAGGTCAACAGTGAGGCAGAACCAGGGATTAAGGCCAGAAGGGCTCAGGTAAAACATGCAAATACTCACATCCTGAAAGATACCAGGAGGGATGCTGGCCTATTTAATGTATAACGGGTGATGTTAATAAACTAATATTGATTAACGTTAAATTTTAAAGGATGGGTTAATACCAACTGAATGAGTTAACCACATCCCAGGGCCTGACATCCAGGTACCATATTCTGTATCGTCCTTAATACAAACAAACGAGGTAGGACTTATTGCTGTATTTTTTGTAAGAGGAAGCTGAGGCTCAGGGAGTTAAAATGACTTGTTCAAGCTCAAACAGCTAGTAAATGATGTCACTGTACAGTTAGAACCCAAAATGGTCTGATTCTAAACATCCCTAATCTTTCTACTATTTCCTGCCACCTCCTAAAATATTTGAACTTGTGGAAATACAAAGTGAACTATTTTGTTTTGGTTTATTAAGGTGCTGAGTGAGCAAAGCTCTGCCCAGCACAGTAGCAACATCAAGAAGACGAGAGAGAAAATATACCACGAGTAGGTTAAACCTCAGTCAGCAGAGTTAAGACTATGGTGACACCAAGAAAAGGACACGGGCACATTTTAAGCACTTTTTTTTTTAAGCACTTTTTTTTAGTCTCTCAAGAAAAAGAATTAATGGGTTGATAATTGCAGTGCTCAAGCTATGAGCTCCTTAAATGCAAAGGATTAAGTTCTCACACCTTGCAGGATAAATGATAATTTGCCAGTAAAAAGAGACATATTAGACCTGTCATAAATGGGGTTTGTAATATTCAGGGCCACAATGGCAAGCGAATGAAAGTTCCACATTATCGGTTTCAGCTTTTCTGGTTAAATTAACATCTCCAACAATACAACCTTCTGGAAGGAAAGGAAGAAAGGACCGGGGAGTTAGTGGGGGGGCGGGAAATATTCTGATGATGAAAATGTGCTACTAAATTAATCTAACTTTATTTGTTATGAGTAAGAAGAAAACACTGAGACCAAAACACAGCTGCACATATTTGATTATCTAAGCTCGTCTCTGTGTTTCTTTTGTAAGTTGCTGCTACTTCTCTCTACTTCTCCCACACAATTGCATGACCCTGGAATTATCACTCTCTAATCTTCCATAGGCAATCCCACTCTCTCCACTCTGCTTCTTCTTCCTTTTCTCCCAGAGCATCTGTTTCAACTGCAGCTTCCACATCCTCAAACCTTCCCTAAACACCTCAGCTTAACCGTAATCTTTGCCCTAGTCCCTCAGCCACTTCTTTTCAGTTGCTCTCTGATTTCTTCCTTACCTTTATTTTTCTTCAAATGTGCTTATCATTATCTAGAATTGTTTTACAGCTCGATGTGTCTGTTGATTGTCTATCTTCCACCCACCCAGCCACAAACTCAACAGCCATGAGAGCAGGGACATTTTCTGAATTGTCCCAGAATCTAGAATATTTTCCAGGACCCTTAATGCCTAAAAAAATATTTTTGAGCATTAAATTTATAAGAGAGGTAAGTATATGACTAGGGAAGGGAGAAGTCACATGCAGAGCCACTGACAATTTTTCTGTTTCCCTTCACTGTAATCTCCCTGGACTAAGAAGCCAGTTGGGCCAGCTGTTACCATCCCAGCCCCTAGAACAACATGAAGTTGTGTGTTTGGAACATCTTAGTACACTGAGGGTTAACAAGGCTATTTCGTAACCTCTTGAAAAACCCATGGGCTACTTGTACATCTGTTGAGATAATTTTGCTTACAAACCCCTGGCAAACAAAGCAAAACATAATGGTGTCCAAAGGATATAAGAAATGGGTGGATTTAGAAGCAAGGGAAAGTCTTCTTCATTGTCTTCTTCGCTGGTCTGGCCACAGTCTGTCTTGTCTGAGGTCTATTTATGTTTGCAACTCTTCAAGATTTAAAGAACTTTCCTTCCCGAAAACTTGTTTATAGGCTTAGATGACCATGTAGTGTTCCAATTTGTCCTGTGCCAGCCCCATGCAGTGCTGTTTGCTGCACTTTTGTGGGCTGTTGCCATGGCCTCTACAGATTAATGGGGACCTGGAACCTTAAACAGGGGAGCTAGGATGGGGTCTCTACGCAGATACTGAAGAAACTATCTTGACTCTTCTGACAGATCTCTTTTGGCCAAGTCATCCTCCAATGGGAAGAGAATACTCTTTCTTGATCCATTTCTTATAATCCCATGTCTAAAACATAGAAGCAGGTCAGGGAGGCAATATTGAAGAGGAAATTTCATCTCCCTTCATGACATTAAATTTTTTTAGATGTGAATCTTGGGAAAATTAAATTTTCTAAATTTTAGGAAATTTATCTCCATCACTGATGTAATGATTATTATAGGATTGAGAGACTACAGTGATATTTCTAACATAACACATTATACATAGTAGGCACTGAATAAAAACATTTTTTTCATAACTTATTTGCCCAGGTGTTTGAAGTTATATGCCCAGGTGTACTCATTTATGAAACCTCTCCAACCCTGCTCTTGTGTTTAAGTGAGAATCTGATTCCTCTTTCCATGTGTTCCCTTAGGCACCATGTTTCCTGAAATTGTTGGGTGCAAATAGCGTTTCCTTCCCCTACATCACAACTCTACCGATTCCAAACCCAGTACACTTACTGTTTTGTGTGGGAAGAGTGCATCATGCATGAATAGCTCTGCCTTTTGGCTACTTTCCTTATCAGAGATTAATAAAATATCCTGTAGCAAATGAATGATCAAGAGACACAAACCCCAATAACCTCACTTTTGAAATTAACATTTTATATGCATTCTGTCATTTAGGCCTTCCAAACCCGTGAGGTAATTATGTTATTGGAATTGAGAATTTCTACAGTTCAAATAATTTGACCAACTTGACTCAGTAAGTGACAGAACTGGCTTCAGTACAGGTCTGACTGTCACTAAAGCCCAAATTTGAAGCTCTCACTCTATTGCCATTTTTGATAACTCACCATTTAATTACTCTCATGAGAAAATAGACCACATTCTCAGGAGGACTTAATAACATCCATACTGAAAACAATATTTCAAATATTTTGGATATTATTAGGCCTTTATTATGTTATATAATGTAAGTAAAATGAGACTCATTTAAGACAAATAATCTCATTAGAATCACTGATTCGAGAATTAGAAGTAGCCATAAGACACCGAGTTCCTGTCAGTACACATGTCCAAAGCAAAGTATTAAAACCTAATGAAATACAAGTTGCCTCATAAATGAAATAGAGATTTGACTTACTTGTGGTCAGCTAATCAGTTGAGAACATTCATTGCCTGAGAGCTAAAGATGTGTACTTACAAGCATCCTGCAGGTGTTATCTTGTGACTAGATTGTAATAACACAAGTTCTCTTTCCCAGAACTTAAAAATGGAATGCCTGCCTGACCTTGGAAAAAAGTATACTTAGTCACATCTAAAATACCTAGGAGGCATTCTTATGTCACTTCTGTTCCAGAAGCACTAAAGCTGAAATGCCTCCATATTTGATGAGTGAACAGCCGATTGCCTAAGAAGACAGCCACCATCAAACATTTCTGCTAGTCTTTTAATTCCTGGTTGTTTATGGACTCAGAAGGCTATTCAGAAAAGTCATAAAGATAGTACTTAGAAGATATCAATCAGATAATGCAAATTTTTTTGATATCCTTTTGGTAATCTATGGGGCATCTATAAACTAATGGAAGAATTTCACTATTCCTAAACTTCTGAAACTAAAATCTGTAAGTCAGACTTGCAATAAACAGAACACTTCCTTTCATTACAAATTATGTCCATTTAAACTTCATCAGAACAGATTTTAAATAATTATAATAATTAGGCTGGGCATGGTGTTTCATGCCTGTAATTCTAGCACTGTGGGAGGCCAAGGCTGGGGGATCACTTGAGCCTAGGAGTTCAAGACCAGCCTGGCCAATGTGGTGAAACCCCATTTCTACTAAAAATACAAAAATCATACAGGTGTTATGGCACATGCCTGTAGTCCCAACTACTCAGGAAGCTGAGGCACAAGAGTCGCTTGAACCCAGGAGATAGAGATTGCAGTGAGCTGAGATTGTGCCACTACACTGCAGCCTGGGCAACAGAGCAAGACTCTGTCTCAAAAAACTAAAAATAAGTAAAGAAATAGTTATAATAATTATACTCATGACATTATAGCATAAAAGTTAAAATAGTACTCCTAGTGTTCCTAAAATAATATGCCACACATATGACACATGTGTGTCATATGCCACACATATGACAAAAAAGATAATTAGTTTTTGAAATGACAGCTGCAAAAAAATCTCTTCCTTTTAACATTGGAGAGAAAAGACATGTTTTTCAATTGTGATGTGTGCTGTTTCCACTTATAAATTTCTTAAGAGATTATAGAGAGAATAACACCAAGATTTCAAAGACAAAGCATGAAGCAATATACTTGCCAAAATCACTCTTCAACTGAGTACAACTATAAGAGGCAGCAAAAATTGTAGGGTGTGAATACTGAACTATGGAAGTGCCCACATCATCCTATCCCCAGGCTTGATTCAAGCCTGAATATGGACTGAAAAAAAGAAGCCCATGGTGCTACAGCCCAATGGGTTCTTTCTGTGTGCTGCACAGAAAAATACAATACACCAAGACAGCAGGTATTACAGCAGAGAAAGAGTTTAATTATCACAAGGCAGCCAAGCAGGGAGGACAGGAGATATTTCTCAAATCCCACTCCCAGAGAATTTGGAGACTAAGGTTTTCAGGGATAGTTTGGTGGGCAGGGTGCTACATAATGGGCACTGCTGATTGGTTGGGATGGGGATGAAATCCCAGGGGGGTCAAAACTGTCTTTGTGTGCTGAATCAGTTCCTGGGTTGGGGTCACAGAACCAGTTGAGTCAGCTTCTAGATATGGGTCACTGGTCTGGGTGGCATCAGCTGGTCCACCAGAATGCAAAGTCTGAAAAATATCTTCAACACCAGTCTTAAGTTTCACAATAGCAGTGTCATCTATAGGAGCAACTAGGGAAGTTACAAATCTTGTGACTACCAGCTATGTGATTCCTGAGCAGTATGCAATTATAAAAAGCAAGTTAGGGAACAATGACTAGTTATTGTTTAACTGTGCCTATACCTTAGCAGAATTCAGGCATCTATTATAATACTAAGCTTGTGGCCTTGTATTGGTTCCACAAAGGCAGTTTTAGTCCCTGAACAAGGAGGTTGTTAGTTTTGGGAAGGGACTATTATCCTTGCTCTAAGGTAGAACTGTGAACTAAATTCCTCCCATAGTTAGCCTGACCTACACACAAGATTAAGCAAAAGCAGTTAGCTTATGAAGCTAGAAGCAAGATGGAGTCAATAATGTTAGATTTCCCTCATTGCTATAATTTTGCAAAGTTTCAAGGAATTTTGACATTCCCAGCCTGTGTAATGTTGCATTTTTACTAAGGCCCCTCAGGGGTTATAAATCCCTAATTTTATGAGATGTCCATGGGAATTCACAGAATATTTATAGAATTATTTCTTTATCCTTCTTGGATGGAAGGCTTGTAATGGCCACAGCCTATGCCTTTTCCTCATTAAATGTTGATTGAGATTAATTTTTATAACTTAGATGACATGTAATCTCAGGGAAGTGAATGTTCCTGCTTTTTCCCCCAGTTTTCTGCAGACAAAATAATCTCCCAGATCATCCAATGACCATAAATGCTCCCATCTATATCATAAGACTTTCTCTCTCTCCTAAACTCTAGAATATTTCCAGCTGTTTTCCATACATTTCTAAAACTCAATTTTAGTATAATGAACTCTTCACCTTCCTCTTCTGGAAAACTGCCTCTCTGCTGAGGTTTTCTATCTCATTTAATAAAGTGCTTCTATTCTAATTACAAGCACACATTTTAAAGTCATCTACAACAGCTTTCTATTCTTCACCCACTGCATCCAGATAGTCAGAAAATCCTAATAATTCTAGGGGGTTTTGCAATATTTATGCTTTTAAACATGCTCTTGGTTTTTTGTTTGTTTTTATTTTAACCTAGACTAATTCAATAGCCTTCTAATCAGCCTGACAAATTCTAAACATTTGCCTCTTTGCCCATAATATTCCAATCCCTTATCAACCAACCATAGAGATCTGGTTATTTCATCTCTCGCCTCAAAAACTGTATAGCCTCCTCATTGCTTCCAGAATAAAACCCCAAATTCTTGGGTTTTTTAAATAACCAATTGCAAATTATCATTCTAGTCTGATTCCTCTGTGTGTAACACTGTATGCTAGTCAATTTCAAAACACACCTTTAGCTTGTGTGTCTTAACATTTTTGCTCCTGTTGCTCCTTCAATTCTCAAGTCTTTATTAAAATCCATCTCATCCTTCAAGACCCAATTCAGTTGCCACTATGCCTTTGGATTGTCTAACCCCATGTCAGAAAAAAAAAAATGCCTTTTCATTTGGAAGCCTATAATTTATTTATACATACACTTAGCACTTATTTCATTCTACTTCCATGCTATCTCAAAAGGCAACATAAAGAATTTTAAGAGTTCATGCTAATGATATTAGAAAGATGTGGGTTACAACTGCAGCTCTACCCTTACTAGCTGTATGACCTTGGGCAACATACTTAGTTTAAACTATCTCAACCTCTTTTCATCATCTCTAAAATGTGGACAACAATAGCTATTCCATATAATTATTATGTCAATGAGAAACTACATGCTTATAAATACCTGCTATCATTTAAATAATAGGTGTCAGAAGGAAATACTTTCTCTAAACAGTTTTCATTAAACAAATTCCCCTAATATTTTTACTCTAAAGGCATAAAGAGAAGCAACTTAGAAAATCTGACATAACAACTCAACAAAAAAATTGTTTGAATTTTGCAGACAAATTAGATAAGGTTCATAGATTATTTTATCCTTTATACATCCAGAGGTCACAGAAAATATTCTTCAGGATACAATGAAGGGCATGACATATATTTCCTAAGAGAAACTGGTATAATTATCACTAGTTGTTTATGTGTGTATTTACCCATCTCCATCTCCATTCCTGCCTGCTAGATTGTAAACTCCTTGAGGAGATGAAACTTGCCTTACTCATTCTTGGATAATCTCAGTGCCTAAGTGGAGTGCATTGCAGAGTTAATAATGTTGAACCGAGTTAAATTAAATTAAACTGAAGCTAATCAATTCTATGCTGTATGCATCAAAGAGAGAAAGATTTGCAATTTGTCAGTCACTTCCTTCCTGCTCTGTTCCATCCCCTTGACCTCCTGCACTTTGTTTATTTTAGCACAAAAAGCATCTCATAGTCTCCCTTTTCCTTTTCTTCCATTAGCTTCCATCTGTTGCTTCTGCTGTATTGCATCTTCCTGGAAAGTGTTGCCTTCTCTAATTATTTGACTTTGGTATATTCCCCCCTCCTTCGTAGTGGACATGTTATTTGTACAATCTGTAAAATGTTTCATTAGCAACGATGTATACACCACAAACGGGGCGTGCTTATTATTCACATGTGTCATTATGCTGGAACTGCAATTGCTTTTCTCATTTTGGCACTCCCACACCTCCTCAATTTGTCTTCCTTTTGCTCATCTCCCTTCAAAAACAGCCTGACTCCAGTTATAGTTGTTTGGATTTGTAACAGATTAGTTGGGCCTTCTGATGTCTGTATAACTTCACAGAAAAGGGAAATATGCACCAAGGCTTTTCAGCCAGGGGGCTTTTAATTGTTTTCCTCAGCTCCCAATACCAGATAACACAAGGCACTTCCCAATATTAGTCCACAGCATGTTTGCTGACCTATTATCCATCTCCTGAAAGCAATCAGTGAACTCATCCATCTGCTCTGTCAGTATGTATTCCTCTCCTTTCCCCAGTGAAGTTAAGAAGACTAAAACCCTTGGGTAATGGTAACCTTGTTATCAATAAGAGCTCTTTCATAGCATATTATAGTCAATGTATTATTTCTACCAGCTTGAAAGTTGGTAGTCAATAGCAGAATTTTTAAGTCATTTCTCTTAAGTCAGTATCTAAGAACCACCTCTCAGGCCTAATAAACACACAAAATTCTGTTCCACACCCCCAGAAATTCTAATCAGTGGGTCTGAAGTGGGGCCAAGAATGTGCATTTTTTACAAATTCTCCAGATGATTGTAAAGCATGTAGTCTGTACACAATATATTGAGTAATACTTTTAGAAATGTGATATTTAACAGATATCTGGCTGAATGTGGTGGCTCACACCTATATCCCCAACACTTTTGGAGGCTAAAATGGGAGGATCACTTGAGTCTAGGAGTTGGAGACAAGCCTGAGCAACACAGTAAGACCCTGTCTCTACAAAAAAATTAAAAATTAGCCAGACATGGTGGCATGTTCCTGTAGTCCCAGCTACTCAAGAGGCTGAGGTGGAAGGATCACTTGAGCCTGGGAGTTTGAGGTTACAGTGAGCCAGGATCGTGCCACTGCACTCAGCCTGGGTGACAGAGTGAGACCCTGGTATATACACACACACATACATACACACACAAATACATATATACATAAATATATGTGTGTGTGTACATATATACATATATGTACGCACACACATATAAATATATATTCACACATATATATATACACACACACACAAGCCAGGTATCAAAACAACCATAAAATTTAGAGAAAAAAAGAAATGCATTCAAATAATCATTAGGGAATAAGACAATAGGTAAAATGATTAGATTTTTAGCCAATTTTTTGTTAGATCATGAAGGCTAGAGTCAGAATCTAAAATTTAAATTGTGTAAATGAGTGTCTGAGACAACTCTTAATTTTCTGAATTTTGATGTGCCAATAAGTAGAAAACCATGACTCTTGTCTGAGCATCTGTTGTCATGTAATACATTAACAAAAAACTTAGTGACTTAAAATCAGTTTGAGTGTTTCAGTTTCTGTGGGTCAGGAATTTAGGAAACATTAGGGTGACAAACCACCTGGTTTGCCCACAACTTAGAGGATTCTTAGGAAACATGACTTTAAGTGATCAAACCAGGAAAGTTCTAGGCAAACCAGAATGAGTTGGTAGATCACTTTAGACTTCACTGGATGGTTCTGGCACAGGCTGTCTCAGGTAGTTTTAGTCAGGATGTCAGCAGGATCTACCATCATCTGAAGGCATAACCCAGACCAGAGGGTCTGCTCTCAAGACAGCACATTTACAGGACTACTGGCCAGGTGCCTCAGCTCCCTGCTGGATGTTGGTAGGAGACTTCAGTTCTTTGCTACAAGGTCCTCACCATAGGTCCTCCCCACAGAATCCTCACAACCTGAAAGCTCACTTCACTCAAACTAACCAACACAAGAAGATAGGTGTTAGGAAGGAAGCTGTAGTGCTTTTTTTGCGATCTAGTCTCCAAAGTCATACATCATTATTTCTGCTTTATTCCATTTGTTAGAAGACAATCACTAAGTCCAGCCCACAAGGGAGAAAAATTAGGCTGTATCCCTTGAAAGGAGTATCAAATAATTTGTAGTTATATTTTTTAATTTCTATTTCAATAGTTTTTGGGGTACAGGTGACATTTGGTTACATTGATAAATTCTTTAGTGGCGATTTCTGAGATTTTGGCATACCTGTCACCTGAGCAGTGTACGCTGTACCCAATATGTAGTCTTTTATCCCTGACCCCCTTCTCAGCCTTCTCCCCCCAAGTCCATTATATCATTCTTACGCCTTTGCATCCTCATAGCTTAGCTCCTACTTATAAGTGAGAATATACGATATTTGGTATTCCATTCCTGAGTTACTTCGGTTAGAATAATGGCCTCCAGCTCCATTCAAGTTGCTGCAAAAGACATTATTTTATTCCTTTTAATAGATAAGTATCCAGGGTGTATATACGCTACATTTTTTTTATCTACTTGTTGGTTGACGGGCACGTAGGTGAGTTCAATATCTTTGCAATTGCAAATTGTGCTGCTATAAATATGCATGTGCCTTTTTTTTTTTTTTTTTTTGAGACGGAGTCTTGCTCTGTCGCCCAGGCTGGAGTGCAGTGGCGTGATCTCGGCTCACTGCAAGCTCCACCTCCCAGGTTCACGCCATTCTCCTGCCTCAGCCTCCCAAGTAGCTGGGACTACAGGCGCCCGCCACCACGCCCGGCAAATTTTTTCTATTTTTAGTAGAGATGGGGTTTCACCGTGTTAGCTAGGAAGGTCTCAATCTCCTGACCTCGTGATCTGCCCGCCTCGGCCTGCCAAAGTGCTGGGATTACAGGTGTGAGCCACCGCACCCGGCCACGTGTGCGTTTTTTATATAATGACTTCTTTTCCTTTGGCTACATACCCAGTAGTGTGATTGCTGGATTGAATGGTAGTTCTACTTTCAGTTTTCTTTAAAGAATCTCCATACTGTTTTCCATAGTGGTGTTACTAGTTTACATTCCTCCCAGCAGTGTAAAAGTACTCCCTTTCACCCTATCCATACCAACATTTATTATTTTTGACTTTTTATTTTTGGCCATTCTACTAAGGTGATGTCTCATTGTGGTTTTAATTTGCATTTCCCTGATAATTAGTGATGTTGCAAACTTTTCAAGTTTATTGGCTGTTTGTATATCTTCTTTTGAGAACTGTTTATTCATGTCCTCTGCCCACTTTTTGATAAAATTATTTGTTTATTCTTGCTGAATTGAGTTCCTCACAGATTCTGGATATTAGTCCTTTGTCAGATGCATAATTTCCAAATATTTTTCCCACTCTGTGGGTTGTCAGTTTACTCTGCTGATTATTTCTTTTGCTGTGCAATAGCTTTTTAGTTAAATTAGGTCCCACTTATTTATTTGGGTTTTTTTTTTTTTTTTGGCTTTGCTTTTGCTTTTGTGATCTAACTCATGTATTCTTTGCCTAAGCCAATATTTAGAAAAGTTTTTCTGATGTCATCCTCTAGAATTGTTATGGCTTCAGGTCATAGACTTAAGTATTTGATCCATCTTGAGTTGAGTTTTGTGTAAGGTGAGAAATGAGGATCCAGTTTTATTCTTCTACATGTGGCTTCACAGATTTACCAGCACCACTTATTGAATAGGGTGTCCTTTCCCCAATTTATGTCCTTGTATGCTTTGTTGAAGATCAGTTGGTTGTAAATATTTGCCCTTATTTCTGGGCTCTTATTCCGTTTCACTGGTCTGCATGCCTATTTTTACACCACCATGCTGTTTTAGTAACTATAGCCTTGTAGTATAATTTGAGGTCAGGTAATGTGATGCCTCTAGATTTGTTCTTTTTGCTTAGTATTGTTTTGGCTATGAGGGCTCTTTATGGTTCCACATAAATGTTACGATTGTTTTTCCAGGTCTGGGAAGAATGATTATGGTATTTTGATGGGAATTGCATTGAATCTGTAGATTTCTTTGGGCAGTATGGTCATTTTTGCAATATTGATTCTACCCATCCATGAGCATGGGATGTGTTTCCACTTGTCTGGGTCATCTCTGATTTCTTTCAGCAGTGTTTTGCAGTTTTTCTTGTAGAGATCTTTCACTTCCTTGGTTAAGTATATTCCTAAGTCTTTTATTTAATTTCATTTTTTGCAGCTGTTGTAAAAGGAACTGAGTTCTTGATTGTGTTCTCAGCTTGGTCATTAGTGGTATATAACAGTGCAACAGATTTGTGTACATTTATTTTGTATCCTGAAACTTTACTGAATTTATGAAATCTAGGAGCTCTTTAGATGAGTCTTTAGGGTTGGTAGGTATACAATCATATTATAAATGAAAATAAGAGTGTGATTTCCTCTTTTCCAATTTTGATGCCCTTTATTTCTTTTTCTCATATGATTGCTCTGGCCAGGACTTCCAGTACTATGTTGAATAGAAGTGGTGAAAATGGGCATTCTTGTCTTCTTTCAGTTCTCAGAGGAAATGCTTTCAACTTTTCCCCATTCAATATGATGTTGGCTGTGAGTTTGTCATATATGGCTTAGCACAACTTTTGCTGTATCCCAGAGGTTTTGATAAGTCATGTCACTATTATTCAAACAATTGAAATTCAAAGAATTTTTAAATTGCCATCTTGATTTCAATATTAACCCCAAAATCATTGAAGAGCAAATTTTTTTATTATACTTGAAGTTTTAGGGTACATGTGCACAATGTGCAGGTTTGTTACATATGTATACATGTGCCATGTTGGTGTGCTGCACCCATTAACTCGTCATCTAGCATTAGGTATATCTCCTAATGCTATCCCTCCCCCCTCCCCCCACCCCACAACCGTCCCCAGTGTGTGATGTTCCCCTTCCTGTGTCCATGTGTTCTCATTGTTCAATTCCCACCTATGAGTGAGAACATGTGGTGTTTGGCTTTTTGTTCTTGCGATAGTTTGCTGAGAATGATGGTTTCCAGCTTCATCCATGTCCCTACAGAGGACATGAACTCATCATTTTTTATGGCTGCATAGTATTCCATGGTGTATATGTGCCACATTTTCTTAATCCAGTCTATCATTGTTGGACATTTGGCTTGGTTCCAAGTCTTTGCTATTGTGAATAGTGCTGCAATAAATATACGTGTGCATGTGTCTTTATAGCAGCATGATTTATAATCCTTTGGGTATGCACCCAGTAATTGGATGGCTGGGTCAAATGGTATTTCTAGTTCTAGATCCCTGAGGAATCCCCACACTGACTTCCACAATGGTTGAACTAGTTTACAGTCCCCCAACAGTGCAAAAGTGTTCCTATTTCTCCACATCCTCTCCAGTACCTGTTGTTTCCTGACTTTTTAATGATCTCCATTCCAACTGGTGTGAGATGGTATCTCATTGCAGTTTTGATTTGCATTTCTCTGATGACCAGTGATGATGAGCATTTTTTCATGTGTTTTTTGGCTGCATAAATGTCCTCTTTTGAGCAGCGTCTGTTCATATCCTTTGCCCACTTGTTGATGGGGTTGTTTGTTTTTTTCTTGTAAATTTGTTTAAGTTCATTGTAGATTCTGGATATTAGCCCTTTGTCAGATCAGTAGGTTGCAAAAATTTTCTCCCATTCTGTAGGTTGCCTGTTCACTCTGATGGTGGTTTCTTTTGCTGTGCAGAAGCTCTTTATTTAAATTAGATCCCATTTGTCAATTTTGGCTTTTGTTGCCACTGCCTTTGGTGTTTTAGACATGAAGTCCTTGCCCGTGCCTATGTCCTGAATGGTATTGCCTAGGCTTTCTTTTAGGGTTTTTATGGTTTTAGGTCTAACATGTAAGTCTTTAATCCATCTTGAATTAATTTTTGTATAAGGTGTAAGGAAGGGATCCAGTTTCAGCTTTCTCCATATGGCTAGCCAGTTTTCCCAGCACCATTTATTAAATAGGGAATCCTTTCCCCATTTCTTCTTTTTGTCAGATTTGTCAACCATTGGATGGCTGTAGATATGCAGCATTATTTCTGAGGGCTCTGTTCTGTTCCATTGGTCTATATCTCTGTTTTGGTACCAGTACCATGCTGTTTTGGTTACTGGAGACTTGTAATATAGTTTGAAGTCAGGTAGCGTGATGCCTCCAGCTTTGTTCTTTTGGCTCAGGATTGACTTGGCAATGAGGGCTCTTTTTTGGTTCCATATGAACTTGAAAGTAGTTTTTTCCAATTCTGTGAATAAAGTCATTGGTAGCTTGATGGGGATGGCATTGAATCTATAAATTACCTTGGGCAGTATGGCCATTTTCATGATATTGATTCTTCCTACCCATGAGCATGGAAGGTTCTTCCATTTGTTTGTATCCTCTTTTATTTCATTGAGCAGTGGTTTGTAGTTCTCCTTGAAGAGGTCCTTCACATCCCTTGTAAGTTGGATTCCTAGGTATTTTATTCTCTTTGAAGCAGTTGTGAATGGGAGTTTAATCATGATTTGGCTCTCTGTTTGTCTGTTATTGGTATATAAGAATGCTTGTGATTTTTGCACATTGATTTTGTATCCTGAGACTTTGCTGAAGTTGCTTATCAGCTTAAGGAGATTTGGGGCTGAGACGATGGGGTTTTCTAGATATACAACCATGTCATCAGCAAACAGGGACACTTTGACTTCCTCTTTTCATAATTGAATGCCCTTTATTCCCTTCTTCTGCCTGATTGCCCTGGCCAGAATTTCCAACACTATGTTGAATAGGAGTGGTGAGAGAGGGCATGCTGTCTTGTGCCAGTTTTCAAAGGGAATGCTTCCAGTTTTTGTCCATTCAGTGTGATATTGGCTGTGGGATTGTCATAGATAGCTTTTATTATTTTGAGATACTTCCCTTCAATACCTAATTTATTAAGAGTTTTTAGCACGAAGAGTTGTTGAATTTTGTCAACGGCCTTTTCTGCATCTATTGAGATCATCATGTGTTTTTTGTCTTTGGTTCTCTTTATATGCTGGATTACGTTTATTGATTTGCATATGTTGAACCAGCCTTGCATCCCAGGGATGAAGCCCACTTGATCATGGTGGATAAGCTTTTTGATGTGTTGCTGGATTCAGTTTGCCAGTATTTTACTGAGGATTTTTGCATCGATGTTCATCAAGGATATTGGTCTAAAATTCTCTTTTTTTGTTGTGTCTCTGCCAGGCTTTGGTATCAGGATGATGTTAGCCTCATAAAATGAGTTAGGGAAAATTCCCTCTTTCTCTATTGATTGGAATAGTTTCAGAAGGAATGGCACCAGCTCCTCCTTGTACCTCTGGTAGAATTTGGCTGTGAATCCATCTGGTCCTGGACTTTTTTTGGTTGGTAAGCTATTAATTATTGCCTCAATTTCAGAACCTCTTATTGGTCTATTCAGAGATTCAACTTCTTCCTGGTTTAGTCTTGGGAGAGTGTATGTGTTGAGGAATTTATCCATTTCTTCTAGATTTTCTAGTTTATTTGCATAGAGGTGTTTAGAGCATTCTCTGATGGTAGTTTGTATTTCTGTGGCATTGCTGGTGATATCCCCTTTATCATTTTTTATTGCATCTATTTGATTCTTCTTTCTTTTCTTATTTATTAGTCTTGCTAGTGGTCTATCAATTTTGTTGATCTTTTCAAAAAACTAGCTCCTGGATTCACTGATTTTTTGAAGGGTTTTTTGTGTCTCTATTTCCTTCAGTTCTGCTCTGATCTTAGTTAATTCTTGCCTTCTGCTAGCTTTTGAATGTGTTTGCTCTTGCTTCTCTAGTTTTTTTAATTGTGATGTTAGGGTGTCAATTTTAGATCTTTCCTGCTTTGTCTTGTGGGCATTTAGTGCTGTAAATTTCCCTCTACACACTGCTTTGAATGTGTCCCAGAGATTCTGGTACATTGTATCTTTGTTCTGTTAGTTTCAAAGAACATCTTTATTTCTGCCTTCATTTCGTTATGTACCCAGTAGTCATTCAGGAGCAGGTTGTTCAGTTTCCATGTAGTTGAGCGGTTTTGAGTGAGTTTCTTACTCCTGAGTTCTAGTTTGATTGCACTGTGGTCTGAGAGACAGTTTTTTATAATTTCTGTTCTTTTACATTTGCTGAGGAGAGCTTTACTTCCAAGTATGTTGTCAATTTTGGAATAGGTGTGGTGTGGTGCTAAAAAGAATGTATATTCTGTTGATTTGGGGTGGAGAGTTCTGTAGATGGCTATTAGGTCCGCTTGGTGCAGAGCTGAGTTCATTTCCTGGATAACCTTGTTAACTTTCTGTCTTGTTGATCTGTCTAATGTTGACAGTGGGGTGTTAAAGTCTCCCATTATTATTGTGTGGGAGTCTAAGTCTCTTTGTAGGTCTCTAAGGACTTGCTTTATGAACCTGGGTGCTCCTGTATTGGGTGCGTATATATTTAGGATAGTTAGCTCTTCTTATTGAATTGATCCCTTTACCATTATGTAATGGCCTTCTTTGTCTCTTTTGATCTTTGTTGGTTTAAAGTCTGTTTTATCAGAGACTAGGATTGCAACCCCTGCCTTTTTTTGTTTTCCATTTGCTTGGTAGATCTTCCTCCATCCCTTTATTTTGAGCCTATGTGTGTCTCTGTACGTGAGATGGGTTTCCTGAATACAGCACAGTGATGGGTCTTGACTCTTTATCCAATTTGCCAGTCCATGCCTTTTAATTGGAGCATTTAGCCCATTTACATTTAACGTTATTATTGTTATGTGTGAATTTGATCCTGTTATTATGATGTTAGCTGCTTATTTTGCTCGTTAGTTGATGCAGTTTCTTCCTAGCCTTGATGGTCTTTACAATTTGGCATATTTTTGCAGTGGCTGGTACCGGTTGTTCCTTTCCATGTTTAGTGCTTCCTTCAGGAGCTCTTTTAGGGCAGGCCTGGTGGTGACAAAATCTCTCAGCATTTGCTTGTCTGTAAAGTATTTTATTTCTCCTTCACTTATGAAGCTTAGTTTGGCTGGATATGAAATTCTGGGTTGAAAATTCTTGTCTTTAAGAATGTTGAATATTGGTCCCCACTCTCTTCTGGCTTGCAGAGTTTCTGCCAAGAGATCAGCTGTTAGTCTGATGGGCTTCCCTTTGTGGGTAACCCGACCTTTCTCTCTGGCTGCCCTTAACATTTTTTCCTTCTTTTCAACTTTGGTGAATCTGACAAGTATGTGCCTTGGAGTTGCTCTTCTTGAGGAGTATCTTTGTGGCATTCTCTGTATTTCCTGAATTTGAATGTTGGCCTGCCTTGCTAGATTGGGGAAGTTCTCCTGGATAATATCCTGCAGAGTATTTTCCAAATTGGTTCCATCCTCCCCATCAGTTTCAGGTACACCAATTAGACGTAGATTTGGTTTTCTCACATAGTCCCATATTTCTTGGAAGCTTTGTTCATTTGTTTTTATTCTTTTTTCTCTAAACTTCTCTTCACGCTTCATTTCATTCATTTCATCTTTCATCGCTGATACCGTTTCTTCCAGTTGATGACATTGGTTACTGAGGCTTGTGCATTCATCACGTAGTTCTCGTGCCATGGTTTTCAGCTCCATCAGGTCTTTTAAGGACTTCTCTGCATTGATTATTCTAGTTATCCATTCATCTAATTTTTTTTCAAAGTTTTTAACTTCTTTGCCATTGGTTCGAACTTCCTCCTTTAGCTCGTATAGTTTGATCTTCTGAAGCCTTCCTCTCTCAACTTGTCAAAGTCATTCTCCGTCCAGCTTTGTTCTGTTGCTGGTGAGCAGCTGTGTTCCTTTGGAGGAGGAGAGGCGCTCTGATTTTTAGAGTTTCCAGGTTTTCCGCTCTGTTTTTTCCCCATCTTTGTGGTTTTATTTACCTTTGGTCTTTGAAGATGGTGATGTACAGATCGGTTTTTGGTGTGGATGTCCTTTATGTTTGTTAGTTTTCCTTCTAACAGACAGGACCCTCAGCTGCAGGTCTGTTGGAGTTTACTGGAGGTCCACTCCAGACCCTGTTTGCCTGGGTATCAGCAGTGGTGGCTACAGAACAGTGGATATTGGTGAAACGCAAATGCTGCTGCGTGATCGTTCCTCTGGAAGTTTTGTCTCAGAGCAGTACCCAGCCATGTGAGGTGTCAGTCCGCCCCTACTGGGGGTTGCCTCCCAGTTAGGCTACTCCGGGGTCAGGGACCCACTTGAGGAGGCAGTCTGCCTGTTCTCAGATCTCAAGCTGTTTCCTGGGAGAACTACTATTCTCTTCAAAGCTGTCAGACAGGGACATTTAAGTCTGCAGAAGTTATTGCTGTCTTTTGTTTGTCTGCGCTCTGCCCCCAGAGGTGGAGCCTACAGAGGCAGACAGGCCTCCTTGAGCTGTGGTGGGCTCCACCCTGTTCGAGCTTCCTGGCTGCTTTGTTTACCTACTCAAGCCTGAGAAATGGTGGGCACCCCTCCCCCAGCCTCGCTGCTACCTTGCAGTTTGATCTCAGACTGCTGTGCTAGCAATGAGCGAGGCTCCATGGGTGTAGGACCCTCCAAGCCAGGTGCAGGATATAATCTCCTGGTGTGCCGTTTGTGAAGCCCGTTGGAAAAGTGCAGTATTAGGGTGGGAATGACTCGATTTTCCAGGTGCCATCTGTCACCCCTTTCTTTGACTAGGAAAGGGAGTTCCCTGACCCCTTGTGCTTCCCAGGTGAGATGATGCCTCGCCCTGCTTCAGCTCATGCATGGTGCACTGCACCCACTGTCCTGCACCCACTGTCCGGCACTCCCCTGTGAGATGAACCCAGTACCTCATTTGGAAATGCAGAAATCACCCATCTTCTGCGTCACTCATGCTGGGAGTTGTAGACTGGAGCTGTTCCTATTTGGCCATTGTGGCTCCACCCCGAAGAGCAAATTATTTAACTTCCATGTATTTGTATGGTTTAGGACTCTTTTTTTTTTTTTTTTTTTTTTTTTTTTGGAGCTGCTGTCAGCTTTATTCCACTGTTATCTGAGAAAAGACCTGATATGATTTCGATTGTCTTAAACTTATTGAGACTTGTTTTGTGGCCTGTCTTGGAGAATGTTCCATGTGCTGATGAATAGAATGTATATTCTGCAGTTGTTGGAAAGAATGTTCTGTAACTATCTGTTAAGTCCATTTGTTCTAGAGTATAGTTTAAGTCCATTGTTTCTTTGTTGACTTTCTGTCTTGATGATCTGTCTAGTCCTGTCAGTGGAGTCCTGAAGTATCCCACTATTATTGTGCTGCTGTCTATCTCATTTCTTAGGTTGAGTAGTAATTGTTTTGTAAATTTGAGAGCTCCAGCATTAGGTGCAAATAATTTAGAATTCTGATATCTTCTTGTTGGAGTAATCCTTTTATCATTATATAATGTCCTTCTTTGATTTTGTTTTTTACCATTGTTGCTTTAAAGTCTGTTTTATCTGATACAAGAATAGCTACTTCTGCTCACTTTGGTTTCCATCTGTGTGGAGTATATTTTTCTACCCTTTACCCCTAAGTTTATGTGAGTGCTTATGTGTTAGGTGAGTCTCTTGAAGATAGCATATATTTGATTGATGGGTTTTTATCTATTCTGCCATTCTGTATCTTTTAAGTGGAACATTTAGGCCATTTATATTCAATATTAATATTGAGATGTGAGGTACTATTCTATTCATCATGTTAGTTGTTACCTAGATACTTTGTTTTGATCATTGTTATTGCTTTATAGCCCCCGTGATATTTATGCTTTAAGAAGGTTCTATTTTGATGTATAATTAGCTTTTGTTTTAAGATTTAAAACTCCTTTTAACATTTCTTGTACTGCTTGTTTGGTAGTGGCAAATTCCGTCAGCATTTGTCTGAAAAATACTTTATCTCTCCCTCATTTATGTAGTTTAGCTTTGCTGGAAACAAAATTCTTAGCTGACAGTTCTTTTGTATAAGGAGGCTAAAGATAGGACTTCAATCCATTCTGGCGTATATGGTTTCTCCTTAGAAATACACTGTTAGTCTGATAGGCTTTCCTTTATAGATTACCTAATGCTTTTGTCTCACAGCTGTTAAGATTCTTTCCTTCATCTTAACTTTAGATAGCCTGATAAATTTGTGCCTTGGTGATGATCTTTTTGGAATGAATTTCCCAGGAGTTCTGTGAGTTTCTTGTATTTGGATGTCTAGATCTCTAGTGACCAGGAAAGTTTTTCCTCAAATACTCCCTCAAATAAGTTTTCCAAACTTTTAGATGTCTCTCCTTTCTCAGGAACACTAATAATTAGGTTTGGATGCTTGGAGACTTGATTCTTATTTTTCGTTCTTTTTTGTCTTTATCTGATTGAGTTAAGTGAAAAGCCTTGCCTTTGAACTCTTAAATTATTTCTTCCACTTGTTCTAATCTATTGTTGAAACTTTTCACTGTATTTTGTATATCCCTAAGTGTGTCCTTTATTTTCAACAGTTCTCATTGTTTTTTCCTTATGATATATATTCCTCTGGAAAATTTTCCATTATATACTGGATTTTTTTCTTTAATTTCTTTTCATTGGTTTTCACCTTTCTCCAGTATCTCCTTGAGTAGCTTTATAATCAAGTTTCTGAATTCTTTATCTGGCATTTCAGAGACTTCTTCTTGGTATGGATCCATGGCTAGGGAGCTAGTGTGATCTTTTGGGGGTACTATACAACCCTGTTTTGTCATATTACCAGAAGTACTTTTCTGGTTCGTTCTCATTTGGGTAGACTATTTCTTCAAATTGTCCTTGGATTTATTTTTGATTGAACTGTTTCCTCCTCCTCCTCCTCCTCCCCCTCCCTCTCTTCCTCCCCCTCCTCCTCCCTCTCCCCCTCTTCTTCTTCTTCTGACTTCAATGCTTATAATTTATTTTAGCCTAATTTGATTCTTGGTACTTTTAGGAATGAAGATTCTATATGAGTTCCTTAATTATATAGAGTCATTGTGTGCTGGCTTTCCAAAATGCTGGTTGTAGTAGTTATGTACTTGGTGTGTGGACAAGTTCACTGTCTCCTATGGGATTGGAATGGCAGGGATCTCTTGAAGCTTATCTCATTCTGTCATGATGCATACTTTATTTATATATTTATTTACTTAATTTTTCCCCAGTATTTTATTTATTGAGTTGATGATTCAGGCTTCAGGCCAATAGGGGAGTATCTCTGGGTAGGCACTGGTTATAGCTAAGGCAAGTGGGTAGATGTAATACCCAATGGTGAGCAGAGGTCCCAACCCTGATGAAGGTGCCTGGAGGAGCTCTCAGTTAGATGTTCTGTGGTTTTGTCAGGGCAAAGGGTGGGAACTAACTCAGCTCCCCTGCCAGGCCAGCAGAAAAGCTATCCACCTCCCAGTTTCACTCCTGTTCCAGTGTTCTGGCTATTCAGATTACACAGGCACCTCCTTTCATCTGTAGGGATATCGATGTTCCAAGTAGAGAGGAATTGTGACTGCCTCTCATGCAGACCTAAATCTGGAGAGCATCTCTCTTGTGGGTCTGCGACCACACTGCATTCTCATGGGAGAAGCCCCAGCTGTGTCTGCAGTGGTGTACAATTCAGGGAACAAGGACTCTTTCTCCAAGGCCCTTCACCATCACAGAGGCTGCCTGCCTGTTGGGGTAGAGATGGAGATTTTCCCTATTGTGGCCAGCACAGCAATTGTGTCTCTGCTATAAGAAACTTCCTACCATAAGAAAGATCTGGAACTCAAGACCTGCTATTCAGATTCTATTGTCCCACAGGGTATTCCCTTGATGAGATACTCTCCCCCTTTCCCTAGGAATGGTACTTCCTGAGAGCCAGACTACAGTGATTCTTATTCTGGGTCTAGCCACCCAGTGGAGCTACCAGGCTCCAGGCTGGTGCTAGGGAATGCCTGCAAAAGATCCAGTGATATGACCTGGCTTCAGGCCACCTAGCAGTGGATACCAGCAGCAGCTGTACCGGAGGTGGCAGGGGAGTGATGTAGACTCCGTGAGGTTCCTGACTGTAGATAGGCTGTTAGTGTGCTGGCTTTCTTGAAGGCTGGTTATATTAGTTGTAAACTTGTCATGTGGACAGACTCAGGATCTCTTTTTAGCCAGGGTGTTCCAGGCAGTGGTGTTAACTGAGATCCCACAGCCATTTTCTCCAACTTTGGTAGTAGCAATGGGATTTCAGCTTGCCGTAAGTTGCCCGGGGGAAATATTCTGGCTTCTCAGGTGATGGCCATAAAGCCCCCCAAAAGTTTATGTTCTTCATGTAAAGCTACAGGGTAGGTAGAGAAATACCATCAGGTGGAGGCAGGATTAGGCAAGTCTGAGCTCAGACTATCCTTGGGCAGGGCCTGTTGCGGCCACTGTTAGGGACAGAGGTGGTTCTCAGGCCACTGGGGTAATGTTCCAGAGGGGATTATAACTGTCTTTGCTGTGCAAAGGGAGTGGGAAGTAGTAGGCAGTAGTAAGCCTCACCCAGCTTCCACACAGTTGGTGAGGCTGGTCTCACTCCTGCAATGCACCACCAACAGTGCCACGTTTAGATCCAGGCAGCATGTTCACAGAATTCAGACCTGCCCCAGGCCATAAGCTCCCCTGCAGAGATAGCAAGCATGTCTTTCAGCCCTTGTCCCTCCCCATCTGCTCACAAGGCCAGGCACCCAGCTCCTGCATTCATGCCTGCAGTGCAATTGCTGCTCACCCCTGGGTTCTGTTCAAGGGAGTTCTTCCCCCTCAAAATTATATCACAAAATTCAGTTGGAGGCTTTTTTCACCCTGTAACCCCTCCCTGTGTTCATTTGCTGACTTCCCTGAGGGTCCCTATGAGATATAGTCAGAAATGGCTTCTCTGGGCTCACACCAGAGACTGGGAACGCCTACAAGGCCTTTTGTGCTGCAGCTTCTACTTATATATTTCATGCCACTCCCTAAATCTGTTCCAGCTCTGGGCAGGGATAAGACCCTCTCCTCTGATTTGGATTTTCAGGTTCCTTGGTAGGGATGTCTACTCAGAGGCAGGCTCTCCCCCTCCCACACTCTGTTTTTTGCCTGTCTGACAGAGTAGGCTGCAGCCTGCTGCTTCTTTCAAAGGTTCTATGGATGCTTTCAGTTTTCCTGGTAAGTTTCTGTGGTTTTGGGGGCAAAAAATCCAGTGTGAATCTTCCCACTATTCTGTCCTTCCAAGTGGAAGAGGCACACTAACACTGCCTCCTATCCGCCATCTTGGAAAAAAACACTGTAGTTATATTTTAAATAACTACAGCTCCTAATATTTTCTTCAAAATCACAATTTTCCAAGCTGTTTTAATGACTGCTATTCCTACCCTCCAAAACTGAAAGAATTTCATGTTAGAAAACAATAATCTTTTCTGGACTTTTCTTTTCATAGCTGCATTATAACTGACCTTTCTTTTAGGAAATATGTTCTTGTTGCTTTAATACAATAAAATAAACTTTAATGTTATTTTACTCACAGAAAGCTCATATTTCTAAGGTAAATGCCAGCAGGTTTCCTTCATAGCTGAAGGTAATATAGAAACTTGGCAAGTTCACAACTAACTAGATCAATGTGGTCAGTCAAACCAGAAAATGACAGTACCAAATTTATTTTATCATATTTCAATTTTCATTTTATTTTTCTGTTGAATCCTAGCTGAGCAAAGAGAAAAGCTAAACTCTAACAAATTAGCTATGTGACCTTAGGCAAGTATCCTTTCTTGGTACTTTTTGTACACATAAAATGAAAAAAAAATGTCTAAAAGTTCCTTAAGGTTCTTTCTATTTGTAGTATTGAATGATGATCTGAACCACTAGGAAGTTTGCCAGATCTTAAGGCAAAATGAACAAAGCCTATTCCCCTTTCTCTTATTGCATCTATAAGGGTGGAGTATATATTAGTGCATCTGCCCACCCAATTGATGAATTAGTATCCTACTCCAGTTACCCCATGAAGGTAATACAGTGCCATAGAGATAATAAAATTATCTGATGATGGCTGGGCTCGGTGGCTCATGCCTGTAATCCCAGCACTGTGGGAGGCCGAGGTGGGCGGATTACGAGATCAGATCGAGACCATCCTGGCTAACATGGTGAAACCACATCTCTACTAAAAATACAAAAAATTAGCCAGGCGCGGTGGCGGGTACCTGTAGTCCCAGCTACTCAGGAGGCTGAGGCAGGAGAATGGCATGAACCCGGAAGGAGGAGCTTGCAGTGAGCCGGGATACCGCCACTGCAGTCCGGCCTGGGTGAAAGAGCGAGACTCCGTCTCAAAAAAAAAAAAAAAAAATTATCTGATGACGTGGATGAGTAATATATTATCAAAACATGGCTGTAGTAACATAGTACTCCCAAAAGCAGACCAACCATCTTTGAAAACAATAAATTTATGAAAAGTGTGACACAGTCACAGATGCTACAAATCTTCCTTACTATCCAAATCCTGGAGGCTACACAAAGGTATGCACTGTAAAGTCCCTTTTGTTCATTACCCATTTTCCATGCCACATATTACAAACTGATATTTCATACATATCCACTCAATTCTTTGGTCAAAGTTCCTCTGCATCATCCAAGAGAGTTATAATCTTTACTTAACAATAAGTACTAATAGCCTTAGTGCTGTGATTATTTTAAATTTTGTTTTAAAATCTTCTTCCATATTGATGCTCCTTGTCCTTTGTGTTCGTAAAATCTTCCTAATACCGTCTAATACAGTTAGTTGGGTTTCTTTTTCCCTTAATTGGTTTTTCTTAAAATGGAGTAGTTTGTTCTAATATTTAAAAAAGCTTTTCATCCCTAGAAATATCAATAAATAGTTCAAAATAGTATCCTAAGCTGGGTGCAACAGAAGACACCTGTAGCCTTAGCGACTCAGGAAAGTGAGGTGGGAGAATCATTTGAGCCCAGGAGTTCAAGACCAGCTCAAGACCACCCTGAACAAAATAGAAAGACCTCATATCAAGGAGAAAAAATAGTGTCCTAAAAGTATAACAAAAATTCATATATTCATCCTAGGAAATTAAACATCTCAGCAGTCCCACTCATTTCACATAAGTGCTTTCCCACATGTTGTTTTATTTAATCTTTACAACAAATCTAAAATTTATGAAGCAAGTACTTGTATCTCCATTTTACAAGTAAAGAAATAGAGCAAAGACACAATGAAAAAAGATAACTAGAGGCCAATGTCCCTGATAAACATAGATACAAAAATCCTGAATGAAATAGCAGCAAACCAAATTCAACAGCACATCAAAAAGTTCATTCACCATGTTAAAATAGGCTTTATTCCTGGGATGCAAGGTTGGTTCAACATATGCAAATCAATAAATATAATTTACCACATAAACATAATTAAAAGCAAAAATCATGTGATTATCTCAATAGATATGAAAAAAAAAACCTTTTGATAAAATCCAACATCCTTTTGTGATAAAAACCCTCAAGGAACTAAGCATTGAAGGAACATACCTTAAAATAATAACAGTCATCTATGACAAACCACAACTAATTTCATAATGAATGGGCAAAACTGGAAGCATTACCCTTGAGAACTGGAACGAGACAAGGATGCCCACTCTCACCACTCCTATTCAATATAGTACTGGAAGTGTTAGGCAGAGTAATTAGGCAAGAGAAGGAAATAAAAGGCATCCAAATAGGAAACAAAGAATTCAAACTATCTCTCTTTACAGAGGCTTTAATTCTATACCTAGAGACCCAAAGACTCCTAAGCAAAAAGCACAAAGCCAGAGGCATCACTTTACTCCACTTCAAACTACATTACAAGGATACAGTAACCAAAACAACATGTTACTGGTACAAAAACAGACACATAGACCAATGGAAGAGAATAGAGCACTCAAAAATAAAACTGCATAGCTACAACCATCTAATATTTGACAAAGTTGACAAACATAAGCAATGGGGAAAAGACTCCTTATTCAATAAGTGGCAATGGGATAGCTTGCTAGCCATATGTAAAAGAATGAAACTGGACCCCTAATTTTCACCATACAAAAAAATTAACTCAAGATAAATTAAAGGTTTAAATGTAAGATCTCAACCTATAAGAATCCTAGAAGAAAATCTAGAAAACAGCATTCTGCCCATCAGCCTTGGGAAAGAATTTATGCGTAAGTCTTCAAAAGCAATTGCAACAGAAACAAAAATTGGTAAGTGGAACTTAATTAAACTAAAGAGCTTCTACACAACAAAAGAAGCTATGAACAAAGTAAACAGACAACCTACAAATTGGGGAGAAAATATTTGCAAACTATGGATTTGACAAAGGTGTAATGTCTAGAATCTATATGGAATTTAAACAGTAATCAAAAAAACAAATAACCCCATTAAAAAATGGGCAAAAGACATGAACAAAAACTCAAAAGAAAACGTAAAAGTAGCCAAACATATTTAAAAAAAAGTTCCACATCACTAATCATCAGAGGAAAGCAAATCAAAACTACAATGAGATACCATCTTACACCCATCAGAATAGCTATAATTGGAAGGTCAAAAAACAACAGATGTGTAGAAACAGAACACTTATATACTGTTGGTGGGAGTGCAAATTAGTTCAGTCACTGTGGAAAGCAGTTTGGCGATTTCTCAAATAAAACAGAACTGCCACTCAACCCAGCAACCTCATTACTGAGTTTGCTGAGGAAAATAATTTGTTCTACCAAAATGACACATGTATTCACATGTTCATTGTTGTGCTATTCACAATAGCAGACATGGAATTAACCTAGGTGCCCATAAATGGCAAATTAAAGAAAATATGAGATATATATATAGATAGGTCGGTATAGATATATAATGGAATATTAAGCAGCCATAAAAATAAAAATGAAATAATGACCTTTGCAGCAACATGGATGCAACTAGAGGGCATTATCCTAAGAGAATTAATGCAGGAATAGAAAACCAAATACTACACGTTCTCAGTTATAAGTGGGAGCTAAACACTGGGTACTCATGGACAGAAAGATGGTAACAACAGACAGTGGGGACTACTAGAGGAGGGCAAGAGGCAAGGGATTAAAAACCAACTATTGGTCCATGCTCAGTATTTGGGTGATGGGATCATTTGTTACCCAAACCTCAGCATCATGTAATGTACCCAGATAACAAACCTGCATATGTGCCCCATGAATCTAAAATTATTGTTGAAAAAAAAAAAAAACTTCAACAACTCTGAGTCAAAGAGTGATTCAGTAAGGATAGATTCTGAATACAAAACACTTTTAAGAATACCTCAATTTGTATTTTCCTTTTAATATATGCACAAGAGTGTTATATGATGAAAGAATTAATGTCCAGCTAAGTCTAAAACAGTTCTTTCAATATGTATGCAAGAAAATTCTATTTGATTACAAAGCATTTAGCAATAACAAATAAATAAAGGAATTGAGGCCTAAAAAGTTTGTGATGTCTCCAAAGTCACACTATCTAGAGTTAAAAAATAAGCGGCACATATTCTAAATCCACACTGAAATATGTAAGTCTTCTATATCCTGATTCCTTTACAAAATGCTAGCTATACAGGATTTATATCTCATACATAAACACAATCCTTCATAAACACAGAGAACATAAATTTTCTCCCCACAGATAAAGAACAAACAACTTTGAGAGAGCTGTTACTAGGCAGAGTAAATGAGTCAATGGTTAATGACAGAACATGATATACTATTTTATCTATCATGCAGCAAAGGAAGTTCAGGGAACTCTAATGCAAGAGCTGTCCAAGTTGTAAAATGTTCCTTGCCTGTAATTCCTCCCTACTGTGTGACATCCTTGGCAGTACACAATAGCCTAACCCTTCTGCCTTAATCACAGGATAGCTCAACATGTTCATATCAGTTATCTTCAACATGTGGCACATATAGCAGGTACAAAGTAATGACATTTAACTAGTGCAAATTCAAATATGCAAAGCCAAGTAAAAATAATAAATAAACCTATTTAGACCACATGGTTCTAAGCACAAGCCAGCCACTTCATCTGGCAGAAAACCAAGGAAACAGAAATTTCTTTCAACACTGAAGGAAAAATCTGGCTTGCATTGGACTTACTAGGATGGTGCGCTATGCGTAAATTCCTATGGTGTGTTCCTTAGGGGAGAATTTGAAAGATTGTTCTAGAGTAATTGTTACTACATGCAAGTTGTGTCATAGACCATGACTTTGAAGCCTAACTCCAGAGGAAGAGAACAGGTGATGGGAAAGGTGATACACAAAAAGTAGTCAAAGACAGTGTCTATCTTTCTAGGGAGTTAAGCTTGACTCTTAGAAACACATCTAACTTGGGGGCATTAACAATATAGAGGGAACCCAGGTACCCCATATTGGTCTTGGTGACCATCATCCCAGTGAGATAGACTCATAAGAAGACCTGGCTCGACCAATGAATTATGGTCCACAGACACACCTAACTGTGTTTTCTGACACCAAAGTAGATGCAGAACTTCAGTCAGCTAGCTTCCTCTTTATTAAACAGAGCATAAGAAAAGAGCACATTGAGTTACACAGGATGACAAAAACTGCAAAGATCAAGGAGTCATGTTTTCAAAGGGTTTCCCATAAAAAATCTTGCACATTCGTCTCTTCTCTGCACCCCCACCCTGATCCTATTCCCTTTTCTTACTGGAAAAGACAATAATTGCATTAAGTGATTAAGTGTTTCTTTCTTCTGACTCATAGTTCATAAGACCACAGCATGAATTTCAATTAGCTTTTCTCACTGTGTGAAGGGGGAAAAAAAGAAAAAAGAAAAATCAGACCTTGGAGAACAGGGTTGTTGGAAAGCATTTTCAATGCCTGCACATAGTTTTTTCACCAGGGCAAAACTGCAATAAGATGGAGAATGGGCCCAAGAATCAAATGCTCTTTAAGTTAGCAGTTCTGATGTTAGTTGTCTATTTGAAGAAAAGTGCCACATGGAGAGATTATTTGTGGTTAGAAATCTTAGGTCCAAGTTCCAGTTGAATGGCTACTAGCTGTGCAACTCTGAAGAACTCCTAAAACTTTCTGAAACACTGTTTCCTCATTTATTAAATGAAAAAATATTGATACATACATCACAAGCTGGCTGTGAGAATGAAATAAAATTGTATATATAAACTGCTCAAACACTATGGATAAAAGACAATTGTTACGGGAAGTCAGGGACCCCGAACAGAGGGACTGGCTGAAGCCATGGTAGAACATAAATTGTGAAGATTTCATGGACATTTATTAGTTCCCCAAATTAATACTTTTCTAATTTCCTATGCCTGTCTTTAATCTCTTAATCCCATCATCTTCATAAGCTGAGGATGTATGTCACCTCAGGACCCTGTGATGACTGCGTTAACTGCACAAATTGTTTGTAGAGCATGTGTGTTTGAACAATATGAAATCTGGGCACCTTAAGAACAGGATAACAGCAATTTTTAGGGAACAAAGGAGATAACCTTAAAGTCTGGCTGCCTGTGGGCCGGGCAGGACAGAACCATATTTCTCTTATTACCAAAAACAGGTAAGAGAAATATCACTGAATTCTTTCCCCAGCAAGGAATATTAATAATTAACAGCTCCAGGAAAAGAATGCATTCCCAGGGTGGGGCCTCTAAAATGGCCGTCCTAGGAATGTCTGCCTTATGCAGATGTAGATGGGGATGAAACACGCCCTAGTCTCCTGCAGCGCCCCCAGGCTTGCTAGGATTAGGAAATTCCAGCCTGGGAAATTCTAGTCAGACTTGTTCTCTGCTCTTGAACCCTGACAATGTGTGCACAGTGGGGCATGGAAGTTCATTAGTGATTCTAGTTTTGCCCTGACCTTCTGCCTTGTGATCTTTTGTCACCCTTGAGGCATGTGATCTCTGTGACCCACACCCTATTTGTACACTCCCTCCCCTTTGAAAATTGCTAATAAAAACTTGCCGGTTTTACAGCTCGGGGGCATCACAGAACCTGCCAACATGTGATGTCTCCCCCAGACACCCAGCTTTAAAATTTTTCTCTTTTGTACTCTTTCTCTTTATTTCTCAGACTGACCGACACTTAGGGAAATAGAAAAGAATCTACGTGAAATAACGTTGAATTATTGGGGTGGGTTCCCCCAGTAGACAATTGTGCATAGTGGTCAAGACTGACGACTCTAGAGATGGGCTGCTGAGGTTTAAAATGTGGCTTCACTACTTGCTAGCTGTGTGACTGAGGGATACTTACCTAACCTCTCAGTGCCTCAATCTCTCTTCTGTAAAATGCCAACGTTGTGATGCTGTGATGATTAACTACACACTTAGAATACTGCCTGGCACACTGGACACACTACTTAAATACCAGCTACTATTCCTGTGTAGCTGGTATTGATGCTTGTTTTGAGTCACAATAATGACAGCAGCAAGAGTAAAGGGAGAAGATATAAGGAATAGTGCTATGGTTTGGATATGATTCATTTGCCCCCTACCCCAAGTCTCCTGTTGAAATTTGATTCTTAATATTGGAGGCGGGGCTTGGTGGGAGGTGTTTGGATCATGGGGGCAGATGACTCATGAATGGCTTGGTGCCATTCTTAAAAAGAATGAGTGGTTTCTCACTCTTAGTTCCCACAAGAGCTGATTGTTAAAAAGAGCCTGGCACATTCTCCTCCTCCTCTTACTTCTTCTCTCACTGTATGATCTCTGCACACAGTGCCTCTCCTGTGCCTTCTACTATGAGTGGAAGCAGCCTGAGACCCTGAGCAGAAACAGATGTTGGTACCATGCTTCTTGTACAGCCTGCAGAACCATGAGCCAGATAAACGTATTTTCCTCATAAATTACCCAGCCTCAGGTATTCCTTTATAGCCACACAAATGGACTAAAATAATAGAAAGAAATTAATGGCACTGCCCAAAGTAACATCTCTCTTAAGAAAGGAAATAAAATAGTGTATTTAAATAACCCAGATATATTAAGAATTTAATAATTCAGACCAAGTATTTAAAAGTAAGGCCCAATTGTTCATAACTGCTTTACAAGGAGGAAGGAAGGGAGTGTTTTCCATTTAGAACATTGCCCAGTTCCTCAACACCAATTGTTCAGTGTCTTTTTCTAGTGAGTACATCTCAATACACACTTTTAGGACTGTCCTGTGGTCACTGGGGAGGAAGGATGGACCATACAACACTTAGGTAGGGTTGATGAGACCACAAAACAGATAGAGTTAGTTTATGATACTAACTAGGGTAAAGAGGCATAATCCTTTATTTATAAGTCAGCAATCCTACACCACCCCTCAGAGCTATTTAAAAGGATAACATATATAAACATTCTCATGGTATTTGTCTAGTAAGCACTTCAGATCTATAAATGGTAAGAGTGTTTGCATTAGAGGATGTAGAGTTTAACCTTCTCTGACTACTGGCAAATAGTGCAGAGGGGACAATTTCTCCATGAACCCTTCTGCGCTTTGGAATTTTCCATTTAAATTAATCCTAATCCCAAAGGAAGGGAACAGGCTATGGGGGATCAGGACAAAAGTGATAACAGTAATAGTAGTAATATTTTCATGTACTGCACTGCAACAGTGTGCAAGCACTGTGATAAGTGTTTTACATGGATGAGCTCATTTAATCCTCCTAAGTATCCTATGGAAGTAGGTCTGTAGAAGGAAACCAAGGCTTGAAGAAAGAAGCAACTTGTACAAGGTTATATAATTAGAAAATATTGAATCTGGGATTCAAGCTCAGTTCTCCCTGACTCCAGAAAAGGGTTCTTATGCCCATATGTTATGTCAGAGATAGGAAAGTCCTTATTTTTTTTACACACAAGAGGCCATAGCAGCGACTGATCTGGTCAGTAAATCAGTAACATTTGTTTTGTGCTCACTGTTGTACAAATTTGTTGAATGAGTGAGTTCATATGGGAATCTGCTTTTGTTGCTTCTGCTGCCGCTATTGCTTTTTTCTTTGGTAATTGATGACATGAAAAAAAAATCACAAAGAGTGAAAATAAGCCCCTTTTCTGAGAAAGCTAAAACCCCTAAGATGCAAATGAAATATTCAAGGAAGAGAAGGTGCGTAAAAAGAAAAGCTAAGGCCCTGCCTGCTGCAGGCAAGCATGCTTCCTGATGGGTGGGCTGCAGAACCAGAGGTAAGACATCGGTTCCTTTAGCAGTGGTCCACGGCACAAGCCCTATGGAGGAGCTGTTGACATCGGTTCCTTTAGCAGTGGTCCACGGCACAAGCCCTATGGAGGAACTGTTGGCTGTGGCTTCCCCTGCAATCTACCATAATGCAGGGAGAGAGTGTCATTAATAATCATTAGCGTAAAGCTTACAGGTGATACAGCAGATGTTGCCTGGCAGGAAAATTGGCAGCATCTGAGAACACAAACAGGGAGGTAATTTTTATCATGGGACAATTCTCAGAAGATGTCCAGCCTAATTCAAAATGTGTTCACTCTCCCAGCCTTCACATGTGATGGGATCTTAACCTCATCTGACCTGCCTGGGAGTTAGATGCCCCTCCTATGGGCTCCCAATACTGTACAACCTACTTCCATCGAAACCTTGATTCCACTGAATTATGATTTTTTGTATGTTTATTCCTCTCACTAGATTGTGAGTTCTTTGAATAATGAAGGAATCTTTCATTCATCTTTATGTCTCTAGCACTCAGCACTTGATAAGTGCTCAGTTATTGTTGAATGAATTAGTGAATAAATGAATGAGTGAACCAATAGATGGATGAATGGATGGATGGGTGGGTGGATGGATGGGTGGGTGGGTGGGTGGGTGGATGGATGGGTGGGTGGGTGGGTGGATGGGTGGGTGGGTGGATGGATGGGTGGGTGGGTGGGTGGATGGGTGGGTGGGTGGATGAATGGATGGGTGGGTGGGTGGGTGGGTGGATGGATGGATGGATGGATGGATGGATGGGTGAGTGGGTGGGTGGGTTGGTGGATGGATGGGTGGGTTGGTGGGTGGATGGAAAGGGTAGCCTACATGCAAAGTGTTTCAACCAACCTTCACCCTCAGAAGCAAACCTCTCAAAAATGACCTTGAAAGCACTCTACATTCATAAGAATATCACCTTACCTTAGGAAAACCTTTTATTATTTTACCGTGCTTGCACAGCCACAACCCTATTTAACTCTCAAAAACAGACTTTTATGACACATTGGGAGAATGTAATCAACTCATTTCACAAATGAGAAAAGTAGCTCACAAAGGAAAAGTGACTTTCCCAATGTCAAGCAGTAGGAAGGTGGCAGAGTTGGATTTTCATCCACACTTCCTGATGACTACCCTGTGGGCTCTTCCTGCCACTACACCACACCATTCCCAAGTATTATTTCCCTGCGACTAGGGAAGCAGCTTTCACTCAGAATGAGGCTCTACCATGTGATTACCAACCTGAGCAGACTTCTGTATACTTGCAGCATAGAACACAGAATCCTTAAGCCCTCCTGCCCATTCACTGTTAGAAGAAACTGGCATTTCTGTTCTAGAATTGGTGACTAGAGACCAGAGATGAGGACAAAGAGGCAATAAGCATCCCACATTAGACTGAGATTCTTTAATGATGGGAGCCAGGCACCTTCCTGAGGGGGGAGAAAAGAGTGTGTTCTCTCTAATCTCCAGAGTCAAGTGCCCTAGTATAGACTAGCAATGATTGTGAGTAGAAGCAAATGGCATTCAATCTTCATTTGCTTATCTAATTTAAACAGAGAACTTTTTATTCTGCTCTATACCTAGATAAACATGAGAAGTTTCACATATTATGACACAGAGAAGGAAAAAATGTATAGCAGCTCTATGACCAGTAGCTGTATTTGGCATAGCAAGAATGAGAGGGTTTCCTGGGAGTCAAGTGGAAAAGTAAAATGATAGACTGATTTTCAAAGATAACTGAATGTTCACAAAAGGCCAGGTTGTTATTCTAAGGTTAGAGCCCTAGTTGGGGAATGTGACATCCTGATACATGGGAAAGTGTGATGGTTAATGTTAAGTGTTGATGTGACTGGAAGGGGGAATGCCTGTGTCTGGGTGTGTCTTTAAGGTTATTTCCAGATGAGATTAGTGAGTGAGTCAGTGAACTGAGTGAGAAAGTCCTGCCCTCAAAGTAGGGGGCAGCATCCCATGGGCTGAGGGCTCTACTAGGACAAAGCAGGTGGAAGAGAGGAGATATTCAGCTTGAGACCTCTTGCTTCCTCTCTGTCTCAGAGCAGGATGCCTTTTTCTCCTCCTGCTTTTGGACATCACACTCCAATTTTGTTGGCCTTTTGGCACCAGAGGCCTCCCAGGGACTTTCAGGCCTTCAGCCTCAGACTAAGGGCTGCACCATCAGGTTGCCCGGTTCTCAGGCTTTTGGAATTTGATTGAACCATGCTGCCAGCCTCTCTAGTTCTCCAGCTTGCAGGTGGCCCATCAGGAACTTCACTTTTGTGATTGTGTGAGCCAATTTCCCCTAGTTGGTTTCCCTTCATATGCATCCTAGTGGTTCTCTCCCTCTGGAGACGTACCCTAAACACAGATAAGTGTATGACCTTGAAGATATTGGCTTCCAAACTCTCCTGAACATTCATAGTTGTAAACCCAGAAAATCTGAGAGAGGTCTCATTTAATTTAGAAGGTTTATTTTGCCAAGGGTGAGGACGCATGCCCATGACACAGCCTCAGGAAGTCCTGATGACCTGTGCCCAAGGTGGTCAGGGCACAACTTGGTTTTATACACTTTAGGGAGACACAAGACATTAATCAATACAGTAAGAAGTACACTGGTTTTGTCCAAAAAGGTGGGGAGAACTTGAAGCAGGGAGGGGTCTTCCAGGTCACAAGTAGGTGAGAGACAAATAGTTGCATTCTTTTGAGTTTCTAATTAGCTTTTACAAAGGAGCCAATCAGAATATGCATTTACCTCAGTGAGCAGAGGGATGACTTTGAATAGAATGGGAAGCAGGTTTGCTCTGAGCAGTTTCCAGCTTGAATTTTCCTTTTAGCTTAGTGATTTTGGGGGCCCAAGATATTTTCCTTTCACTTAGTCTATACATACGTCTCATACCTCCCTCTTAAGAACTAGCAGCCAGGTGCAGTGGCTCAGGCCTGTAATCCCAGAACTTTGGGAGGGTGGGGTGGGCAGATCATGAGGTCAAGAGATTGAGACCATCCTGGCCAACATGGTGAAACCCCGTCTCTACTAAAAAATACAAAAAATTAGCCAGGTGTGGTGGTGTGTGCCTGTAGTCCCAGCTACTAGGGAGGCTGAGGCAGGGGATTCACTTGAACCCAGGAGGTGGAGGTTGTAGTGAGCTGAGATCGCACCACTGCACTCCAGCCTGGTGACAGAACAAGACTCCATCTAAAAAAAAAAAAAAAAAAGAATTAGCACTGATTTGGCAGTTCCTCAAAAAGTTAAAAAGAATTACCATAAAATTCAGCAATTCCATTCCTAGATATATACCCCCCAAAAAATGAAAACAGGGACTCAAACAGATAATTGTATTTCAGTGTTCTTTAGAACATTATTCACAACAAACAAAAGGTGAAAACATCCCCAAAATCCATCAACTGATGAATGGATAAACAAAATAAGGTACATGCATACAATAGGTTATCCAGCCGTTTAAAAAATGGAGTCCTGACATGTGCTACAACATGGATGAAACTTTTAAACATCATGCTAAATGAAATAAGCCAGACATAAAAGGACATTTTGTGATTCTGCTTCTATATGCAGAATAATCAAATTAATAGAGACATAAAGTACATTAGAATTTGCCAAAAGCTGGCCAGGCATGGTGGTTCATGCCTGTAATCCCAGCACTTTTGGAAGCTAAGGCAGGTAGATCACTTGAGGTCAGGAGTTAGAGACCAGCCTGGCTGAAACTTTTTCTATTGATTGGAATAGTTTCAGAAGGAATGGTACCAGCTCCTCCTTGTACCTCTGGTAGAATTCGGCTGTGAATCCATCTGGTCCTGGACTTTTTTTGGTTGGTAAGCTATTAATTATTGCCTCAATTTCAGAGCCTGTTATTGGTCTATTCAGAGATTCAACTTCTTCCTGGTTTAGTCTTGGGAGGGTGTATGTGTCGAGGAATTTATCTGTTTCTTCTGAATTTTCTAGTTTATTTGCGTAGAGGTGTTTATAGTATTCTCTGATGATAGTTTGTATTTCTGTGGGATCAGTGGTGATATCCCCTTTATCATTTTTTATTGTCTATTTGATTCTTCTCTCTTTTCTTCTTTATTAGTCTTGCTAGCAGTCTATCAATGTCTAAAACACCAAAAGCAATGGCAACAAAAGCCAAAATTGACAAATGGGATTGAATTAAACTAAAGAGCTTCTGCACATCTGCACAGCAAAAGAAACTACCATCAGAGTGAACAGGCAACCTACAGAATGGGAGAAAATTTTTGCAACCTACTCATCTGACAAAGGGCTAATATCCAGAATCTACAATCAACTTAAACAAATTTACAAGAAAAAAACAAACAACCCCATCAAAAAGTGGGTGAAGGATATGAACAGACACTTCTCGAAAGAAGACATTTATGCAGCCAAAAGGCACATGAAAAAATGCTCATCACGACTGGCCATCAGAGAAATGCAAATCAAAACCACAATGAGATACCATCTCACACCAGTTAGAATGGCGATCATTAAAAAGTCAGGAAACAACAGGTGCTGGAGAGGATGTGGAGAAATAGGAACACTTTTACACTGTTGGTGGGACTGTAAACTAGTTCAAACATTGTGGAAGTCGGTGTGGCGATTCCTCAGGGATCTAGAACTAGAAATACCATTTGACCCAGCCATCCCATTACTGGGTATATACCCAAAGGATTATAAATCATGCTGCTATAAAGACACATGCACACGTATATTTATTGCAGCACTATTCACAATAGCAAAGACTTGGAACCAAGCCAAATGTCCAACAATGATAGACTGGATTAAGAAAATGTGGCACATATACACCATGGAATACTATGCAGCCATAAAAAAGGATGAGTTCATGTCCTCTGTAGGGACATGGATGAAGCTGGAAGCCATCATTCTCAGCAAACTATCGCAAGGACAAAAAACCAAACACCGCATGTTCTCGCTCATAGGTGGGAATTGATCAATGAGAACACATGGACACAGGAAGGGGAACGTCACACACTGCGGCCTGTTGTGGGGTGGGGGGACAGGGGAGGGATAGCATTAGGAGATATACCTAATGTTAAATGACAAGTTAATGGGTGCAGCACACCAACATGGCACATGTATACATATGTAACTAACCTGCACGTTGTGCACATGTACCCTAAAACTTAAAGTATAATAAAAAAAAAAAGGAAGGCCAGGGGAACTTTCAGAGGTGATGAATAGGCTTATGGCACAGATTGTGGTGATGGTTACATGGGTATAAGCTTATCTCCAAACTCAAATTGTATAAATTACATATGTACAACTTCTTATACATCAAACATACCTCAACAAGGTGGTATATTAAAAAAGCAAAAAGAAAAGACTATTCACTGCAGCTTTTCTATCTCTATTTCTATATCTACCATTACAGAGTGAAGCACACACCTGCTAGGCCTCTGGTAAGTTTTGGAGGCAACACACTGCACACCTAACAATACTGTTCCAGATCAAACATTGGGAGTCATGGAAACTGCTGAATGTAAGTGGAGCCTGAAGCAGGAAAGTTGTCATCATCAGGTTCGGGTTGCCGTGTAAATAGCCCTGCCATGTGGAGAATAGGTTCTCACAAACCCTCTGGTGTGTGAGGTGCCAAGGATGGAAAAAAGATGTATTTATGGCAAGCCCAGGGGGAGAATCACAAAGCAGAATCTGGGTTTCTGGTACAAAGCCTTGACTTCTGCTGTGGAAAATTATGTGTTGGGGAAAAAAAAACAAAACAAAAAACAGCTCTTGACATGCTCCTTGGCTCTGGTAGAGATGGAATACTTAAAACACCCAGTAAATGGGCATGCAGAGCTCCCCATCATAAGCTGGGTCCTGTCTCACCCACTAAGTAATGAAGTCAAGCTGGTCCAAAGGCAGTTCAAAGGGAGCTTTATTGGGAACAGAGGACACGGGCAAGCTGTATGAGCAGGGAGTACCATGTTATCCATCATGGTTACACCACCATCTCTCTCTCAGCTTACACAGATGGCCATGGGAAGTCCTGTAAGATGACCTAAGGAAGGAAGAAAAAGCCCAAGTCTGGATTATGGTTGGAAAGACTTGCTAGGAAGGTAGAAGCCAAAAATGGATAAGAGCTGCCTTACTGTCTCACTCAAAGGTAGCCTTGGAAGTCGGTGGACAGAATATCTTCCCAAAGGGTGGTTTGGGTAGTGCACTGATCAAATATTTTGCATGAAAAAAGAAAAGGCCTGAGGGATATATAGACACACACATACAGACACACACCATATACATATTTATACACATACATATATACACACACATATACATACATATGTGCGTGCATATATATATATATACTCATGTCAAGGCCAAGAAGGTAAAAGACTGGGGGAATAAAGATTTCTGATAGAAGCATGTAGAAGGCAATATAGGCACAAATACTAAATGTGATGCCACCCATTTCTCATTAAGACCCATCAGAAGGCATCTACCACAGAAAAGGCAGTAAATTTCCAACCAGATGAAATGAATCAGTCAGTTGATATCAGTCAGCCTTTGTCAGCTGCCACCCTCAAGCACTGGAAAAAGAGGCAAACGAACAAAGTGGCAGAGACAGAACTTTGCGTGGAACAAACACCATGGACTCCCACTTACCAAGGTTGATCTGGCCATTGTCACCTCTGAATGTCCAACCTACAAGCAACAGAGACCAAAGCTGAGACTGGCACTATTCCTTGAGGAGATCAACTGGCCACATGGTGGCAAGTTGGCTACAATGGGTGCCTTTCAGCCCAGAAGAGTCAGTGATACATTCCCATGAAAATAGATACTTATTCTGGGTATGAATTTGCCTCAGCCAGCATCATCATCCAAGGACCAATAGAGTGCCTGATTTATAGGCATAGAACCCCACACCAATGTAATGTTTAACCAAAGGAGCCACTTTACCGTGAAGGAGGTTATGAGGTGTGCCCACAATCATGGGACTTGCTGGTGGTACATGCTCCTGCACCACCAGAAGCCCCCATCTTGGTATAGTATTGGAATAGCCTGCCCCTACACCTCCCATCTCCCTGGCTATAAGCCTGACATATGATAGCAAGGAAAGCTTGGGATGATATATGAGATTAAATTTTAAACTGGTGTTTTAATAACTGAAAATATCTGTAAAATTATGGAATCTTCCTAAAATGAATTAAGGGATTTGCTCTCAATGGGGAAGGGAGATTTGGCATAGCATGGTTAGGAGCTATAACCATAGAGAAATAAAGCCATTTCATGTTTGTATTTTTCTTGAGAGTACTCGATAAACTGGTTGCATTTATTATTGTCTACCCATCAGCAGCAGGGCCCATCTGGGAGGGCACAGATGTTGCACCCATACTGTACAATTTGGTGTCCACAGATTGACATTCTCCAAAGGTTTCCTTTTCTCTAATGGCTGCTGAATTATTCACAACCCCAAGTGCTTTCTGAGCCTGGATTGTCATTATTAAGTGTCCTTTCTGCAACACCCATCCTCTCTCCCTTCATAAAAGAACCTTCTTCCCTATTGTCTTCCTCATTTGCAATTCATTCTCCTAATCACCACAGCTTTGTCTGGACCAAAGAGCGTCCTGGACTCTTTCCATATAATTCTCCCTCACTTCAATTATGGGAGGGAGAAGCAGCAGCTGACTCGCTTCAAAGATTCACTCTTTAAAAAAATATTTATTGTTTCCTGATTGGAAAACACTTTAAATAAAGTGTCCTAAATATACTTAACTGCTCTTTCATGTTAATTTAATACCAGAAGGAAATTTTTAAAAAAAGACTAATTGAGCTTTAACAATATGCCTTTAAAAAGTCAGAAATTTTTAAGTGGCCTTATAGTGCTATGGAGTTTGGAAATCTCTCAGAAGAAGAATTCATTTATTTGTTCTTGTTTTCCACCTTACAGAAAATAAGACTACATATGCATGTATATGTATATACACCTATATATGTATATCACAAAATATGTATGTATGTGTGCATATATGTGTGTATATATCCCAAATTAACAATCTTTGTACTGTACAAATGTTTGTAATACACATATATGTACACATGTCAAACATATATGCATGCATACCTCACAGCTATAATTTACACACACACACACACACACACACAAACACACCCCCATTACAGAGAATATACATATTACCAAAAACAAAAAAAATTTGAGCCATCTTTGGCCAAAGAAGGCTAAAAGAGTCAGTACAGATACACTTGGACCTCCCTCCTCTAACTATTTATGAACCACCTTCTCCATATTTGCACAAGATCCCATTCCCCCCTCCTACACAATGACGTTTAAACTGCATCTGTCTTACATCTCCCATTTTTCATCTCTACTGGTTTTTCCTGTCAGCATAAAGCATGTTATTACTTCTCCAACTTAAGAGATTATAATAATGATAATAAACCTCTTCTTAGTTCCTCTTCCCCCTCCAGATGCTGCCCCATTTCTCTGCTGCCTGTTATATTAAAACTCTTTGAAAGAGTTACCTCTGTTCAGTATCTTTCATTTATCTCACCCAACCGTCCCAAAACTCATTTCATTTAGGCTTTTGCCACCAAAGCTCCACTGAAACTGCTCTTGTCAAGGTCACCAGAGACGTCGTACTGTGAAATTCTGGGTCCATTATTCTCATCTTACTTAACCTACCAGCAGCTTCTAACTGTCATTCTTTACTTTCTCTTAGATACATAATTTTTTTTTTTTTTACTTTTCCTCTAGGGCCCTATGTTCTGATTTTTCTCCAAACTGTAACCATACTTCATTAATATTTTTGTTAATTTTTATTCTTTTTTTCTGACTTCAGGCCTTAAAGGTTTAGTCCTTGAACTCTTTCTCTTCTTGATATCCTCTTCTGGTCTCTCAGTTTTATCATCTGAGAGACAAAAGTAGATGCCCCTTAATCAACTAAGAAGAACCCTAAGGTTAAGGAAACAAAAGGTACCTATAGGTTGAGGGTTCACGGTCTGGCTGGCATAGAAAATTTCCAAATTCCTACAGCTACAAGAAAAACTGCACTCTTGCTAAACTCCCTAACGATAGGAGCTATCAGGAAAATTATCAGACCCTTCCTAACTCTGGTTTACAACCCAGACCGCTACAACTCTGCTGGACAGAGGACTGACCTTAGATTCTTTTTTAATAAGCAACTGCAGACCTTAAGCTGATTTCAGCCAGCTTTTAGAGGTTGCACACAAATCGTTTTGTGTCCTATAGTTCACCTTTTGACATAAGGAGCCCAATTCCACTTCATTTTAATGCTAAGTACCTACCCCCAAATTGCCATGAGATGTATGTTACATGTTTATCCATTCCACGTAACTCACCTCCCCTCATAAATATATATAGCTTCTCCACCAAATCTGCTGAATATGTAGGACTCTATTTTGTAAAGCAGACCCTGTGAGGCATAAAACCCAACTGGCCCTTCTCCTCTTCAAAGAAAGAACACCTTTGATTCACACCAGAGACTCTTTTCAGTTTGTGAACTGATATTCCCAGTAAAGCTGTCCTTTTTATCTTTTAGCTATTCTGGTGGTCTTTTGGATGACATTTTTGAGTTCTACCGAGAGGCTGATCATTCCCAATTATTATAAAAATCTCCAGCCCAATCCTCTCCTCTGAAATCCATGTTCCCATATCCAGCTGCCTACTAGACACAGGCCTAATCAACATCTCAAATTTAACATGTCTAGAATTGAAATCCTGATCTTCTCCCCAAAACCTGCTCTCTTAGCAGTCTTCCCCAGCTCAGGTTATAGTAGTCCCAACCTTCCAGTTGCTGGGCATCATCTTTGACTCTCCTCCTTCAAATCCTGTTGGTTCTCCTGCTACTTTCCTGGCTCCAGCCACCATCATGACTTGTGTGGATTATTGCAATGCCCTCCTAATTGATCTTTCTGCTTCCAGCCTTTTTTACTCTACAGTCTGAGCTCAGTCATAGTAATCCTTTTAAAATGTAAGTCAGATTATTAACACTCTGAAACCTTCAAAAAACTGAGCCTCAAAGCCCTCCAGGGGCTTTCCATTTCATCAGAGTAAAAGTTAGAGAGGTCCTGTGTGATGCACATCCCCAAACTCTCTGACCTCATCGCCTCCTACGTTCTCACTTGCTTATTCTGCTCCAGCCATGGGGACCCTCCTTGCTTTTCCAGAACAGGTTAGGCATGCTTCCATTCCACCTCAGGGCCTTCTCTCTGCCTGGAACATAACCGTAATGGTTACCACCTTCACTCTTTCAAGTGTCTATTCAAATGCCATCGTTTTATTGAACTCCCTTCACTCAATTTTTCTTCTTCTTTATCCTGCCTTGTTTTCTTATAGCACTTACCATTTTCTAACGTGTGAAATAATTTAATTATATTTTGTATTAGGCTCCTCCTAATAGAATATAAACTTCATGTAAACAACACATTTTTTTCTGTCTTTTGTTTTTCTACCACTCTACCTCTTGTGCCTAGAAAAGTATCTATCACAGAAATGTTTTATAAAAATTTAGTCAGTAAATTAAAGATTCAGTTCAACTGTCCTTTACTAAGGACTCACTTTGTGCAAAGCACCATGCCAGGCAGTGATGAGAACATATTGGGATGAATAGAACAAGCTCCCTGCCCTCAAAGAACTTATTGTGGTCAAGTATTAATAGAGTTAGCCAAGCAGACTGCCCATGAGGCATGATTGTTACTGCCCTACAGAGATTCCTCTTTCCCCAATTTACCTCACATACAAATTCACTGATGCTTAAAATCCCATAATTACAGATAAACCACTACACTTCTGTGATCTTGAACAAATTATTTACATTCCTAAGTCTCAGATTTCTTATTTGTAAAGTGAAGTAATAGTGCCCATCTCATAGGTTGTTGTGAAGACTAAATGAGATAATCCTTTTATAAAGGCTTAGTGAAGTCTCTAGCATGTAGTAAACATGAAAAGATGTTAGCTATTATATCCATTCTCTTGACTCAAAATCCTGATCCTTATTAAAATGCAAAACCTTTTCATAGAGATACTAGATATTTTTGAAAACCACATACAGCAATTGCTGAAACCATGATGCTGAGTTTCTTTTAGGCAAGAAGAGGGCAAAATAATCTTATATATCATGTTAATTACCATCCTCAAAGGGAAGATGTTTGTTCTTGACTAAGTTCTCCAGGAAGGATTCACTAAGGACCAGAAGAGGTACAGGAAAAGAAAAAAACAGAGAAATAATCCCACCTCCTTATGTAAAAGCAATGGACAATTTCACATGTGTCCTTGGGGCTGCTGTTTCTCATTTCTTTTTAAAACTAAGAATAAACAGAAGAAAACAATGATAGACATCACATTACTAAAGTATTTGCTTATAACACTTACCATTTTCTGACATGTGAAATAATTTACTTGGTTCTAAAACATTTGTTGAGCCACTATTAAGTGCTGGCTTTTCTCAAATATTTTATATATTTCATTTCTGAACACCTCTGAGAGTTATGTATTATTCTTATTTTGTAGTCAAGGACAAAAAGGCTCAATGATATTACATTGTCCAAAATCACAGTAAGTAACAGAGAAATCCAGGATTCCAAGCTAAGGTTCTCCATCTAAACCCTATCACTACCCTATCTTATAGTCAGTAAAGTTAACCATGAAAAAACAAATGCAAAAAACATACTGGACAAATTCCCTAAAAAGGCTAGGGAAAGACTCATAGTGGCTCACAGCAGCAAACCGTGAACATCTCTTTCCAGCTTGGTGATCAGTGACTTTATGTTAGTACCCTGAAATCAGTAGTCATGGGAATTGTTCTGCCACTGAAATCAGCAACAGCTACAAATCAGAGCCAGTTTACTAGCACACTGTAGAGAGTGCTTAGGCATTCTTGGAATCCAAGAATGCCTGATACTAGTGTCTCTGGGAGTCATTCACAGATTTTACACAACCAGAGAGATAGGCCCAATCAGCGTTCAAGGTGTAACAGTCTTCCACTATCCTAGAAGATTCCTGCTGTCAATATTATATCATGAACAATCCATCAGATTCCCTCCTGAGAGCTGATCTCAACAGGGCATAAGGAGAGAGGATCTGAGGACCCTTGTTTAACTGAAGGGATGAATGGAAGGGAACCCACCTGTGCAGCAAATAGACTCAAAATGGGGAACCTGGGAGGTGCTGAGGACCAACATCACTGGCCTCAGCATTGCCTGTGATGGTTTTGGCCACACAAGAAGCCAGCATTCGCATCCCAGCCTGCCGAGAGTAGGGAGGAGCCAGGACTCATGCCCTACACTGGACTCCAACCAATTATACCTTTCATCACACCTTTATCTTTCTTCTATTTTACCTGTAGGAAAACTGAAGCATGAATAAGCATACTCAATAAAGCCAACTTAAATGCATATAGATAGGGATTTAGCTAGAAAAAGTGATCTGAGGTTCCAGAGGGCTGGAAGATTCTGGCAGAACTGAGCCATTTTCTCTTCTGGTAAACAAAGGAAATGTCCCTGCTCAACCCAATAGTCACTCCCTGGCTATCACTGGATAAATGAAAAAAGTCTTTACAGAAAGATTATCCAACCTAGCCTACAAATATAAACAGGTTTTGCTGTTTTTTGTTTTGGTTTTGTTTTTTTCTGGGGGTGGTGGTGAGGGGAGGGTTACAGTTTTCTAAGTTGCTGTTTCTTATTGCACTAAGGAAAAAGAGAATATCAAAAGAGTTTGGTTGGTTAAAATCCGCTAGGGACGTATTTCTTCCTGACACCTAGTATTATTCAAATGACAGCAGATATGACTAAAAGCATTTATCACACTCCCTGACTTGCTTTAATCTCCCACAAAGGGAAGCTGTGCTCATTGCACCGGGCAGGGGGGATAATGAGGCAGCCGCCCAGGCTGCCAGAGTGGGGCATTGATTTTAGGTACCAAAAATAGAACCTGCTGCCGTTTCCAGCCGGCTGCCCTGTGTCTAGAAGTGGATTATCAGCTGAACAGCACAAGTACAGGGAGATGTTTCCAGGCAATCAGATTGGCTTATACACAGAGCATTAATTCTCCAGAAATATGACGTGTTGACCAATCAAAATGGCTTCCTCTTCAAATAAAGTCTGTAGTCTCTAAGGCAGCATTTGCAGCTTCAAATAGCAATAATGGCCCCTGCTTACAGGGCATGTTCCAGGAATTAGCACCTGGGTCGGGTTAATGATATAAAGCACAGCTGCTCTTAACTGGTCATTAATCCCAAGTAAATACCCAGCAACTCGATTTTTGTGGCTTTAGGATAAACCTGAAATCAAATGGCCCAGTCAGACCAAGCAGCTTTAACACAGAAAAAGCTAATGACCACAAAAGCCTCTCCCTCTGGGTATAGTGGGGGTGCAGTTGAGGGGGGAGCTAATCCAAAAAGCATTTTTTCTTTCATGATGTGCGAAACACTGATTTCCAAATAGATGCTTGTCACCCTTACTAAGTAGAGAGATGTCACCAACCCGCAGTCAGTGAGGAATGAGCTGCAAGTTGTTTTTCTAGTTAGTGATGATGGATTTTGAACTGATTCATTCACATCTTCTGACCTCACTCATCCCCCACGCTATGATCAAATAGCAGATGTCTACAAAGCTACTAGTTCTTCTTAGGCTGCTGTCTGTAACTACGTGGCCAGCCAAGTTAACAAGGGATAAAGACCTGGCTGGAGTCTTGCACTGTGCTGATGGGGTCAGCAGAACTACCCAACTGAAACTCAATGGATATGACTGATCCTTGTAGAATGCATTTCTTTTAGCTCTGTAATTCTCTTCAATCATCATGCCTGATCATTTTCAAATTGTATCCTGTGATCTTTGGGGTTTCAGAGAGATGCATTATAAACTTCGGAAGGGTGGGGAGCAATGAGCAATGGAGAGACAGACTGGTGAGGGAAGATCAAGTGAGCTGACTCCAGGTTTAAACTTCAAAGAATCTGTGCTTTCACCTGTTTCATAGATTAAAGGTCTCTGTAAAATTTCATTTACAAAAATAGTTCTGCTGCTAAAATTACAGTTCAAAAACATCTGATTGTAGCTGGCTTTCTCATCTTCCAGATGAGGAAATGGCTTCCCCACACTCTATGGTTTTGGCAGCCCTCCAAGCATGTAAAGTTCAGCCATTCCTCCTTCCCTTCAGTTCCAACAGCTCCTGTTACCTGTTTCACTCTTGAAAAATTTATATCACTGCCTTGTTTTGCTAATTACCATTTTCTCAAAAAAGCTCTATCTTCCTCAAGGGCAAGATAATAGCTAACATTTCTTATCCTCTGTAGTGCTTAGCATAATGTCTTATACAGAATAAACATTGATTTCTTGGAGAAATGACCAATGGCAATGGTATTGAAGGCATTTGTCAAAGAAATATAAGACCTGGCTAACAGTGGCTTAAACAGTTTTATTTTCGTGGGTTTGGGGATTTGTGTTGGTTTATGCTCATTTGTTTTTCTTTTGTCTTAACATTATCAAAAAGTATTAAGGTGGTAAGGTACTGACATTTGTTAAATGGTTCAATGACATCAGAATTCATCTTTACCTAATGACCTCAAGATAGTTAACATAACTCCAGGCTTTATTTACTACCATGTGCAAGGGGAGGAGGAAAGCAAAAAGTTATGTCAAAAGTTGTTCCTTTAAAAAACAAAGGTCAAGTTGTTTCCAGAAGCTTTCTAGTGTAACCTCTTGTAAATCTCTGTCAAGAACTACAAAGTGTCTGAGATTTTACCCAACTTGTAAACTAACATGTCAGCATGCCACAGATGCATGAATGCAGGAAGAAAATATAAGACTGCTGGTCAGAGATAAAGAAGTTTATCACTCATCGCAAAGCATGCAGCATGTGTGATATGTTTTGGCTCTGTGTTCCCACCCAATCTCATCTTAAATTGTAATCCCACATGTCGAAGCAGGGAGGTGACTGGATTATGGGGGCGGTTTCCCCCATGCTGTTCTCATGATAGTGAGTGAGTTCTCACCAGATCTGATGGTTTTATAAGTGTTTGGCAGTTCCTCCTTCACATGCTCTGCCTCCTGATGCCTTGTGAAGAAGGTGCCTGCCTCCCCTTCTGCCATGATTGTAAGTTTCCTGAGACCTCTCCAGCCATGTGGAACTGTGAATCAATTAAACCTCTTTCCTTTATAAATTACCCAGTCTTGGATATTTCTTTATAGCAGTGTGAACATGGACTAATACAATGTGCATCAGCATATTTATGTCAGAGCCCATTGCTCCCAAGTCCCATAAGGGTGACATCAAGGGGCCCAGACAGATGCCTGCACCAGGAGTGGTTTGCATTCCAAGAGCGGAAATCTGAGCTTAGAGAACCCAAATCTTTTATAATGGGCAGTAAGAATGCCTATTGTTTGCTCCAGAAAAAAAGATACTGTCTCTTTCTTCCATGACTGATTACTATACAATCTGGAAAAGATAATCCAGAGAAAAAGGGAGAGTCAGTGCCTCTGCTCTTGAGATGTTCAGAAACATGAGAACCCTATGAGTTGTCCGTCTACATTGTCTCATGAGCAAAGACTAGAACCTATGGCAATACCTGTCTGTATTTTAATGTGATGATAGAATAATTATCCTTTGAGTGACATAGTGGCAATTATATTACACCCAAAAATAAATTCTATTTTATCAGATGGCTCTGAAGTAAACTTTCTCTATGTAGCTGTAATAATATCAGCTCTGTTTATTAATTTTCAACTTTCATGATTAACCAACAAAAACATCGAAGACTTCATTGTAAACTAGAAAGAGTAACTGTAGCCACACCAGGCCAATCTGGTTGAACTTTTATGTAACAGAGTTGTGAGTTGTTTTTCAGCTGCCACAGACCCTCAGACTGAAGGTCACATAACCTAAGCATGCCCAGATGAACAAAGCTTGCAACCACAGCAAGAACCTAAGTGCTTGGGCAGAGAAGCACAGACTGAATTAAGAAGTGGACTTTGCATGACAGGATTCAGGATCCAATAAGATTGAGCTCTGGCATCACCCCATGGCAGGATCCAATTAGATAACACTCCTTCACTTCACCTCACTGCAAGATCCAATCAGATCATCCTCATTACCCTATGCTTATAAAACCCAACCCAGCCCCCAGTTCAAGGAGACAGATTTCCTCCTGTCTCTTTGCCCGTTGACTTGCACGAAACCTTTCTTACCGCAAAAACCCAGCACTTGGTGTTTGGCATTGCCCATGGACAAAGAGATCCAGTTTGGTTTGGTAACATAAATATCATCAACCAAAATATTTCTGGAATGGCGTATTAGGTTGATGGAAAAATATACACACAACACCACTTCAAACGAATTGAGAAAAATTGAATAAAATATAACATTTAAGTTTTCGAAACCATAACTAAACTTGGCACCAAGAATAGAAAATTCTCAGGTGATAGAAATAAAAGGAGGCTGAAATCACAGAGTAGCTACTGTGGACTGAAAGCAAAATACCTCACAGTATTGTGGAAATCACAGTGGGTTTTAAAAACTAGGGAATGGGATACTGTCTGTTCCCTGCAGAGAGGGGAATCCAGTCCACTGCCCTCAAGAGCATAGGAATCCAGAGACATGATTCCTGCATAAGGCCAGGAGTCACAAAGCCTTCTCCCAGCTGTAAATATGGTCTAGAAGAACCCCACATGACACCCTGGGATTTGACAAGGAAGGCTCCCATCCATTCAGGTCCACGTTTTTAAAAAGTCTGAATACAGGCCAATGCCATTTGCAGGGATAAGATCTGAATTCATACGCTCCAAGGACACGTGAATTCCAAGCCAAGGAATTTGCATGAAAAATGGATTCAGAATTTATCAGAGACCGGTACAAAATCACACTGTAAGAATGCTTCTACAAACAAGACTTGTAGCAAGGACTTTCATGGAAAACGGCCATCGCTGAAAATGGATTCATAGCCAAACTTGATAAATTGCGTGAGGAAATGAAGTACACTAAAGAACCATTAGGAAATGCAAGTAGACAGGAAAATGTACAGTCTAAAACTAGAAATAGTAATGCAATATGAGAGAGGCTTTGAAATTAGTATGTTTAAAATGCTTAAAGAGACAAAGAAGAAATAGAAACAGGAAAGTATAGGACAAGTATATGAAAAAAACTGGCAGATTTTTCTAAAGATTAAAAAGAATGCCATAAATAAACAGTACAATGAGGGAAATTGAAATATTACGGGTGGATTTAACAGTACAAACAAAAATAAAATTAATGAATTAAAAGAAAAATCTGAGAAAATACATTAATTCAGCACATAGAAAAGGAAAAAGTTATATGTAGGCTAGAAAGAAAAGGCACAACACACATCAAATAAGCATTCCTAATGGGGGAAGAATAGAGAAAAAGGAAGAATCATTAAAAGGACTAAAGATAGATTTTTCAGCATTTAAGACATTAGAAAAGCACACCAAATCCTCTGCAGAATAAGTCAAAGTAAATCTATACCTAGCCATACCATAGTGAAACAATAGAACATCAAACACAAAGAAAAAAATTGTAAAAACAGCGGTATTTGTTTTGGTATATATATGTTTAGCTACAAAGTAAAATGAAATACAATGCTTTCAAAATGATTGAAATTCATTTTCTTTTCTCATGTAATAATCGAAAGCACCTCAATCCAATAGAAGTATAAAGCAAGCCACATATATAATTCTAAAAATTCTAGCAGCCACAGTAAAAAAGTTAATGTTAATATTTTACTTTCTTTAATGCAGTATATCTAAAATATCAGTTTAGTTCAATGTATAATCAACACAAAAATAATTAGATACAGTAGTCCTCCCTTATTTACAGTTTCACTTTCCATGGTTTCAGTTCTCACAGTCACTCTTAGTTTTACTTCATAATGGCCCTAAAGCACAAGAGTAGTTTTGCTGGCTATGTGGACCTGCCAGAAGAGAAGCTGTGAAGTACTTTTTTTTGCAGGGGGGTGTGGTGCGGGGACAGAGTCTCACTCTGTCACCAGGCTGGAGTGCAGTGGCACGATCTCAGCTCACTGCAACCTCCCCCTCCCAGGTTCAAGCGATTCTCCTGACTCAGCCTCCTGAGTAGCTGGGACTACAGGCATGTGCCACCACACCCAGCTAATTTTTGTATTTTTAGCAGAGACGGGGTTTCACCATGTTGGCCAGGATGGTCTCAATCTCTTGACCTCGTGATCCGCCCGCCTCGGCCTCCCAAAGTTATGGGATCACAGGCGTGAGCCACCATGCCTGCCCGAAGTACTTCTTTTAAATGAAAACATGAAAGATCTTCACTTAATAGGAAAAGAAAAAATCGTACACTGAGGTTGCTAAGATCTACGGTAAGAACAAACCTTCTATATATGAAATCGTGAAGAAGGAAAAAGAAATCTCTGCTAGTTTTGCTGGCCCACCTCAAACTGCAGAAATTACAGCCACAGTGTTGTCAGTGGTAGTCTCTAAGTTCCCACCACAGGCTGTTCGTCCGCTCTCCCTGCTTCACTCTTTTCTCTTGCCTGTGCTTTAGGCCTCAAACTGATCTCCTGGCAGTGCTCAGGGCATTAGGCTAGAACCCTGCCCTGTGACTTTCCCATCTTCATGGTCTCCCAGGGCATACCATGCGGAGGTGGACCAAAGACACAGGCCTTTACTCAGTAGGCAATCCTACCCCTTCAGCTGTCTTTTTACCAATTCAGGGTGGGAGAGAGAAAACTGCAGCACTCCAGCATTTGAGCTACTCAGGTGTTTGGAGCCGGAAGGGACAATGTGTTTTAACAACCTTCAGAGCTCTGACCTTAAACCTGTGGCCACCCCAAGTCTGGAAGCCTCACCTCTTTCTGGCAGTCATGTGGGCAGGGGGTCCTCAAAGGGAAAACATATTTAGACAGCTGTCCCCAAGTCTACTAGCCATCTGCAGGGGGTAGTGATTTGGCCCTCGCCCTCCTCTAGAATGTTCCCCATGGGAAAGAGGAGACTCAGCAGCTTGTGTCGAGATCCCCGGCAGAGGCCAGGGTGGAAGCTTCCACAGGAGCCCCTTACCCTTGCTCAAAGCCACTTTGCGAGGTGACGGGAGCCAACACCGTCTGGGGGAGCTCTAGTGCTGCTCGGCACACCCCAGTATCAGGTCAGATCGTCATAATCAAAAAATGTTAATGAAGTTTAAACCCAGCTTTTGGGGAAGCAGGACAAACTACCACCCCACCACATGTGTGTGATTTCAATATCCCACTGCAACTTCCATTTTTTAAATAGGAATTTTCAATCCCTTGTGCTTACCTAATATCTGCTTTGAACAGTTCGAGACACTGTTAGTGTTTTAAAATGCATGCATGTTAAGATGAATCTCCAACCTGAGGAAAAAAATAAAACTCAAAAAGCTTTATGTGGAAAAAAAAAATACAACCACAGTGCATGGTAAGAGCTTAAGATGGAAAAGGCATTACATTTGTGTGTGGAAGATATAACAGAAATGTGTTCCAATTTCAGGCATCCACTGTAGGTCTTAGAACATATCCCCCGTCCATGGATAAAAGGGGGGATTACTGTATTTTACATGTTTTTGCTAAGTCTTTAAATTCTTCACATTTATAGCAGATCTCAATGTGGACATTATATTTTCATTTACTGTGAAAAAAGTACATTCACATACCCAAATTGTTACAAACATTTTCAAAAGTTTTCAACTCCCAAATCAAATATTAGCATTTAAATTTAAGTTATTCAAAGTGAAGTAAAATTTAAAATTCAGTTCCTCGGATGCACTGGTCGTATTTTAAGTAGTCAATGGCCACATGTGACTATTGGCCACCATAATGACAGCATAGTTCTGTAGGTAAGTGTTCTAGGACTGGTTGGGTATCTGGGTCCAGTATAGCTTCTGTAGTTCTTGGCATCCCTGGAAGTAGGAAGCAAGGGTCCATGTACATTTTTTAAAGCCCCTTACTTGAAGGTGCATACGCATACACCTTGGTATAACTTAACCACATAGTTAAACCAAACTGTGAAGGTGAGATCTGTGAACCCATATGCTAGCTTTTTTTTTTTTTTTTTTTGAGATAGGGTCTCACTCTGTTGCCCAGGTTGTAGTGCAGTGGTACGGTCTCGGCTCACTGCAACCTCCACCTCCTAGGTTCAAGCAATTCCCCTCCCTCAGCCTTCTGAGTAGCTGGGATTACAGGCATGCACCACCATGATTGGCTAATTTTTGTATTTTTAGTAGAGACAGGGTTTCGCCATGTTGGCCAGGCTGGTCTCGATCTCCTGACCTCAAGGGATCTACCTGTCTCAGCCTCCCAGAGTGCTGGGATTACAGGCATGAGCCACCACGTCCGGCTTAATTCTATTCTAAGAAAAAATAGTAGATAGCCACAGATAACTTACTGGATCTGCTACCACACCAGAGATTTAAAAATCAGAAACACATCATCTAACAGGATCAACAAATTGGCAACAGATACCCCATTGATAAGACAATGCAATCATATTTTCAAAGTGCTAAAAGAAATAATTATTATCCTTGATTTCTACTCTAAGTCACACTATCACTCAAATGTAAACATAAAAAATATATTTTCAGAAAAAGTTTAAGAATGTGCTACTCTCGTAGACCTCATAGAAAAAAATACTAAATGGTTTACTTTAACACAAGAAAGCTAAACATGGAAGGAGCAGGCTGCACGAGCAATAGAAATAGGAAAAAAAAACAAAAACAAATTTTTCTCAAAATCTTTTCTATATATTCACTTTCTAAATCCCTTTTTTGTTGAGAGATAATAAAAGCGAAGAAATGAATGTTATTCATCCTGACAATAAAAAAAAGTAGAGGTAACAGAGGTTACATGGGTGGTGGGAACAGGGACTATCAATATACCCCATGGTGTAACCCATGGAGAAAATAATTGTGACTTAAGTCACCTTTTTGCGGTTGCAAAGTTAACCAGTGAAGTTGGTTAAACTCAGAATATTTGTGTAATTATATGGGAGACAGGCAATGTAAGTGAGATTATAAGGTTAGGGTTAGCACATGGGTTGATGTTGAGGTTAGGTTTCCAGCAGAAAGTCGAGCAACATCTATAGTAAATATATCAATAAATATACACCAATAAAGAATGGTATAAGGGCTGGGCACAGTGGCTTACGCCTATAATCCCAGCACTTTGGGAGGCCAAGGTGGGAGAATCATTTGAGCTCAGGAGTTCGAGACCAGACTGGCCAACATGGCAAAACCCCATCTCTACTAAAAATACAAAAATTAGCCAGGCATAGTGGCAGCCACCTGTAGTCCCAGCTACTCAGGAGGCGGAGGCAGTAGAATTGCTTGAACCTGGGAGGCGGAGGTTGCAGTGAGCAGAGATCGCACCACTGCGTTCCAGCCTGGGCAACAGAGTGAGACTCCGTCTCAAAAAAAAAAGAAGAAGAAGAATGGCATAACCTTACTATTTTGAATTTGCACATTCAGAAAAACTAAAAGGGAGTATTGAAAGTTCATTCCAGGAAATAAGACTGGGATTAGATCAGTTGGAGCAAGAGATTGCTGCTTTTCATTGAAAATTCTTCTGTACTAATTTTTTACATATCTGTATAATTTTATTATATATAATTATAATTTTATTTTTAAAATTTTTAATAAGCTGGGCACTGTGGCTCACGCCTGTAATCCTGGCACTGTGGAAGGCTGAGGCAGGTCAGAAGTTCAAGACCAGCCCAGCCAAGATGGTGAAACCCCATCTCTACTAAAAATACAAAAAAAAAAAAAAAAAAAAAATTAGCCGGGCGTAGTGGTTGGTGCCTGTAACCCTAGCTACTTGGGAGGCTGAGGCAGGAGAATCCCTTGAACTCGGGAGGCGGAGATTGCAGTGAGCCGAGATCACCCCACTGCACTCTAGCCTGGGTGACATTGCAAGACTCCGTCTCAAAAAAAAAAAAATTAATTAAATATACATTTATGTATCTTGAATATTTGAAATCATTATGCTAGCAGTCCAGCATTGGGAAATGAAAACAAAGATTTCTCTATGAAATTAACTACCCGTGTTTTCTAAGCAACAGCCTTCTAAATCACTGATTCCTTTATATAGATTTGTAATGCTAAACTGGTTCTGGTGGTATATCTCCTTAAAGAGATGTGAATGATCTTTTGTCTACATAATCCATTATAATTAGGATTCATGATGCTGCTGTCACAGATAAAATGACATGTTGTTCTTTTTTCTTTCCCTCAGAAATTTGCTACCCACTTGAGACTCCAACCCAACCTAATCCAAGCCACTAAATGCTCTCATAACTTATCCCAAGCACCAATCATCTCCAGCATGGAAACTAAGATGGCATCCTTACTGGTCATATTGTTTCTCTTTACTTTCTTATAAAGAATTATCCACACAGAGGCCAGAGAGATCTTTCACATGTTCCCAGTCATATGCCAAAGCTGAAGACATTGATCTCATAGAAATAAGTAGAACAGAGCCGGGCGCAGTGGCTCATGCCTGTAATCCCAGCACTTTGGGAGGCCGAGGTGGGCAGATCACAAGGTCAGGAGATAGAGACCATCCTGGGTCACACGGTGAAACCCCGTCTCCACTAAAAATACAAAAAATTAGCCGGGCGTGGTGGTGGGCGCCTGTTGTCCGAGCTACTCGGGAGGCTGAGGCAGGAGAATGGTGTGAACCCGGGAGGCGAAGCTTGCAGTGAGCCGAGATCGCGCCACTGCACTCCAGCCCCGGCGACACAGCGAGACTCCGTCTCAAAAAAAAAAAAAAAAAAGAAATAAGAAATAAGTAGAACAGAGGATACTAGTGACTGGGAAGGGCCGGGGAAGGGAATGATATGGTTTGGATGTGTGGCCCTTCCAAATCTCATGTTGAAACATTATCCCCAATGTTGGAGGTGGGCCTAGTGAGAGGTGTTTGGATCATGGGTGTTGGATCCCTCCTGAATGGCTTGGTGCCATCCCCATGGTAATGAGTCAGCTCTGCTTGGTAATATTGTTAAAGGATACAAAATTATAGCTACATAGGAGAAATAAGTTCTAGCGTTTTATAGCACCATATGATAACTATAATTAACAATAATATATAGTTATAAATTGCTAGGAGAATATTGATTATTTCCAACACAAATGATAAATGTTTGAGATAATAGATATGCTAATTACCCAGATGTGATCACTATACATTGCATATATGAAAACATCACTGTCCCTCATAAATATGTACAACTATTTTGTCAATTTAAAAATCAAAGTTAAAATAAATATCAGACTGCCTCACTTCCTAAATTAATCTCCTTCAATGGCTTCCCGTATCACACTGAGAATACAATAAGTTATTTCCATGGCCCAGCCTGCCCAGGACTTGGCCTGTGCTTCCCTGTATAACTTCCTCTCATTCCATCCTTGCTTACTCAGCTATTTTTCTGTTTAATAGCCTAAGCTTTCTCCTGCCTTGGGATGCTTCCCCTTATTCTACTCCATGCCTGGAAATCTCTTCAACCCATTTCCACATGATTTGTGTCTTCCTGGCATTTAGGTCTCAGCTCAAAATTTACCTCCCAATCTTAAGTAGCCACGCTGACACACAAGTTATTTTCTTATTCTGGTTCTTATTTGTATGAAATTTTCCACTTTATAAATAATTGAAATAATCATGTTCACTATTTTTTTCTTTGTTTTTTGGTGGTGGTGTTTATCTCTCTATTACATTCTTGGCCCATCACCAGCAGGGTTTCTGCCTGTCCAGACCCTAAAAGTGTTGGGCACATAGTAGGTGCTTAAATAATATTTTTGAAAGAAACAATGTTAGATAGATATCTTCTCACCTACCACTAGATTGTAGACAGATTTAAAAATTCTATGTTCTTATCTATAAAAACTAAAGAACCTACTGGATTATGTATCTCATACCTAGTAGGGTTAGACAATTTCCTTCTCTGTTCAAAACCTTTAAATACTGCTTTGCACAGCAAATAAAGTACAAATTCCTTAATATACCTTTTAATGCCATCAACAACACACCCTCTAACTATTGTCTGTAACAGGAAAGAACCTGCATTCAGATTTTCCAATATAAAACTTTGGGAGGATGTTTATTTAAAATGATAGGAAATGCCCTCCTTTGATAAGATAATTCCAAAAAGTAGTTGCATCTTGTTAACATTGTTGCCAGTAACATAAGAGTAATACACCCATGAGAATAAATATTTTTACAAACAATTCCATGTAGCTCTGTTAGTTTCTATAGATTTAATTTTTAAACAGAATGAGCCTATGAATGATTGATTGTGCCAACACAAATCCTCACATGTATCTGGTTATAGGTACTTACTATCAGTTTTTTTTATCTAATTGAAAATAGAAAATAAAACAAGAGGAAATTGTTCACAGCACTTTAAATTTCCCTGCAACCATTCCCTCGTCCACTGGCCACAAACTAACCTTCTGCAGTTCAGCCCCTAGAAATCAGTCATATTCTTAAACATGTTGCCTGCTTTCTCACCTACATACTCTGACAAACCTATCTGCTTAGAATTTTCTTCTCTAGAAACCTTTTTTGAAGCTATATAGGGAACTCCTTGCCCTTCAGATCTGTGCAAAATATTCTATCATGTTGGATTCCACGTCCCTCCCCCATTGTCTCTCTCCCAACATTTCATTATTTTTAGTAATTTTGTTAAAGATATGCAGGCTGATGACAGGCAGATGGAGGGATCATGTCAAACCTTCAAAAAAGGTTTTTGAGTGGACAAAAAAGCTGTCTCTTTTTAGTAGTCAGAAAAAATGTTTTTCTCTTTCCCAAAGTCTCCTCTGGTTTATCAGATCCAAAGTAATTGCTATCTAATCTATACTACATTACACTATTTATGCATACTTTTAAAATTATCTTTTTTCATAATTTATAATTTATATGTCTTCTCTCCTCTATTACAAATTCCACTAATCCAGATAATATTTTAACAGTCCTATGTCTATAAGGTGCAAATAATAATGCCTATATTATCTGCACCCTAAGAAAATAAAAAAAAACAAAAGGCCATGTAGATTCACATGTTTTATAAACTGCAGTGTGTTCTCCAAGTGTGGATTAGGTTATTATTGATATAATTTGAAGGATAAATTAGATGCACCAAAATTTCCACTATGAAGTGAACTGTATCTGCTTAGAAAAGGGCTGAGTGTGCAAGATACAACTCCAACAAGGCCTAAGGATAGAACTGATCTGAGAAAAATGGGGGAAAGAAATTGCTAGTTACTCTGGAGAAGGAGGGAAGAGAAAGAGAGAGGAAGACGCAGATTCTGTGAGATGTCAAAAAATTGAACATTTGCTGACATAATCCCTCCATCTGCCTGTCATCAGCCTGCATATCTTTAACAAAATTACTAAAAATAATGAAATGTTGGGAGACAATGGGGGAGAAGCATGGAATCCAACAAAATAGAATATTTTGCCCAGATCTGAAGGGCAAGGAGTTCCCTGTATAGCTTTCTGGTTACCTGACTGTAGGCTTTAATAGTGGTCACAATAGTAGTGATACTTGCCCAAAAATAACCTCAGTGCTATTCACATAGCAGATTCATATTTTGTTAAATAAAGAATATTCACTTAGAAATATGGACACATTCTTGAACAAAGTGTTTCACTAGGGCATTAATTTTCCAATCTTCTTAAAAGTGTAATTCTTCACAATGGAATCTTTGTGGGTCCCATTCTATAAAAAGTTACAGATTTAATCCCTCAGGATTAAATCTATAGTTTAATGGAGATAATTTATTGTTTTTGTAGTAGGGTGTGATACTGAAGTTTCAACAAAAGCATCACTATAAGACGTATCAGATACCACTGTGAATGTGGGATGATTCTCATGTGGAAAATTTAAAAGAGATAGCTGAGGCATGGTTTCATAAATCTTGGACCTTTCAGAAGGATCAAGGATATAAGCCAAGTTAGAAAGTAGAGAAACAAGAAGGATTTGTAAGATTTTCCTTAGAAAGAGCTGTTGAACTGCAGAGTCCTCCCCAGTAAAGGTGGGGGCTATGGGGAGATGCAGTGCTGGTGAGAGAGATGCTAAAATTTCACCCAATCACAGCAAGAGGGAGCTTTGGAAGAGCTTTCTATGTGTTCCATGTGATCCTGATATGACTCTAAAATAGCTATCCTATGGCAGCAGGATAAACTGACATCATTGGAATCCCCCTACACCTTCTTAGTCTTGCGAGCAAAATGGTTACAAGAATGTGTCTTTGATGCAAATATAGACTCATGAGAAAGAGACCTGGGCCATAGCCCTTTAAAATCCTATCCCAAGTCAATAAGAACACAAAAAGAACAGCAACTGAAGTAAACCACCAGAGAATCAGGTGCTTAGAGGCACGTGGCAGCCTGAGAAATAAAGTAACGATACCTAAGTTTCAAGAGTTGACAATAACTGGAAGTTGTGAAGAATCCATTGACGTACCAAGAAAGAGTCCGTTCTAACCGTTGTCTAGGCCCAGAGAGCTTGAAGTAGCCCAGTTAAAGTAAGGTCTTCTTTATCCCTTTATCTCTCAGTCTCTTATCTCCCAAACCAGAGGCCCAAAATAGTAAAAGTCACTCACTTGTGAGTGAGTGAGAGAAAAGAAACCAGCCCTGAAGGTAGCCTGCAACCCAAGTACATATCCAAGGAAAGGAGAGGACTTTTAATGGAAGATTGAAGAAGACTTATTAATATCTTGAACGGAGTACTGAACAGTTACAAATAAAACAAACAGAACAGAGTTAGTGCTTTGTGACTCATGATCTTATGACTACGTTACCTAAGAATGAGCAGAAAAATTACAGGATATGTCAAATTTCCCTCTTAAGAACAAAGAAAAATAACTCACCCATGGATGAAATGTAAATTGGACAGGGTTGGTAAAAAAAAAAAATGTATTACACCCTGAGAGTTCTAGATTCACTATACCTGTTACATTTCTAAAAACCCTAGAGCATATCTTTAAAGCCTCCAGAAGATTAGAATCCAGAATATTATAGTTTCAGTTTAGGCCATTTAACAGTCATCATTTATTCTAGAACCATTTATAAAGTGTCCCTACTTTGGGCTGAGCACTGGATTAGAAGCTGTCTCCTACATTACGTCCATTATCCTCACAGCAATACTCACTCTCCAGTAATATAAGATGCCAAGGCCTGTTCACATTCTCAATATCACTTAATCCCCCCAAACACATTGCAATATGGCCAGGATAGGATTACTATATCATCGTGCTCCAAGGAAAATAAAGCTAGAGGCATTAGACAGCTTATCAAAGACAAAAACACTAGTGAGCTATGGAGCTACCCCTCCTCATCACAGTACCTGACTCTGTCTCCTGTTCAATACAGCTATCACACTCAGCTTTTTCATCTGGCACTTCACATGTTTTTTTCAGAGATTCTGTTTAATATATGTTTATAGGTGACTGCATTTGTTTTATTCTATCTTGACAAATCTTCATATGTAAATTTCAACCATTTTTCTATTTGTGGCCTACTCGGTTAACATTAGTGCATAGCTTTGGACCTTCATCTACAAGGTAATATGATAAAAAAAAAAAAAAAAAAAAAGTTTGGAGACTCTCTTTTTTCTTTGTTTACAGCAATGTTTTCTTACATTTTTTTCTAACCCAAGTTTAAAAATTATTTCAAAGAGCTCCTTTACAAGAAAGTAGGCATCTAACACAATGCAAATTTTTAGAAAGTAATCATTTTAATTCTAAGATCTGTCAGTCACTGTTGAGCTAGTAAACTCTTCATTGCTGCATTGCCAGTATATTATCTGAAATAGGTGTAGTCTATTAATCTACTTGGTCTGCCATCACAGAACGCCACAGAAGAGTGGCTTAAGCAACAGAAATTTATTTTCTCACAATTCTAGAGGCTGGAAGTCCAAGAACTTGAAAGTCATCACTCCCATCCTTACAACAAGGAAAATTCTGAACAAACTGAAAATCAACAACCTTATTAGATCTGTCAGAGAATTAAGGCCACAGAAAAACTGCTATCACCAAAACTGAAGATAGAGAGGCAGATACAGAGATTCACAACTTTACAGATCAGAAGCCCAGGAGGAGAAGTGCACAGCAAAAACCATATTGGTGGGAAGATTTTAAATTATAATTGACAAATTACTAGAGGATCAGTATTGAATAGTTTGAGAATTAAAAACTCAGAGGGTGCCCAGTTTCAGGGGGTCCCCAACACTTTTGTGAATTTTACCTCTGGTAGCTCTGTCATTTATTCAGTGATTATAGCTTATAGGTAAGGGAAATGAATGACAGAAACGTTATAAGTGACAGGAGGAAGAAATTAGGAATACTCTGTTTTAAGGTACTTGTACTATCTGTGAGGCATGTGAAAGAAAAATAGAATCTTGGGGCCACAAACTCACTATGCCAAAGGGAAAGTTAACCTTGGGAACTGAGCCGCCAACACTATTTCCCTTTTGTTTTCAAACAGGTAGCTGTAATTTCACATTCCCATGTCACAGCCTCATTTCCTCTACTCCCTCGTTTCACATGTTTACTTTATCTTACATAAAATGTAAATTTACTGAGTGCAAGAAAATGCATAATTGACCAGCTTCTTTTTTCACATGTAAAATGTAGATTCACTGAAGCTCATCAGAGCCTCACTAGAATGTAACCATCTGCCTCACAACCTATACTCCCCTCCCTTTTGTCTCCCTTCTGCTTGCTCTTTTCCCTTTAAATACAAAAGTTCACAAAACCCTCTTTGGAAAAAACATAGATCACAGATGCTCCTGTGATTTGAGTTTTTTCCTGGGCTTCCTCAACCTTGGTTAAATAAACCTCTAATTGATTGAGATACCTGCCTCAGTCACTTTTTTTTTTTTTTTTTTTTTTTTTTTTTTGAGACGAGTCTCCCCCTCTGTTGTCCAGACTGGAGTCCAGTGGCACGATCTCGGCTCACTGCAACCTCCGCCTCCCAGGTTCAAACAATTCTCTGCCTCAGCTTCCCAAGTAGCTGGGATTACAGGCATCCACAACCAGGCCTGGCTAATTTTTTTGGATTTTTAGTAGACACGGGGTTTCACCATCTTGGCCAGGCTGGTCTTGAACTCCTGATCTCATGATCCACCTGCCTCAGCCTCCCAAAGTGCTGGGATTACAGGCGTGAGCCACCATGCCCGGCTCTCAATCACTTTTTGGTTTACAGGGAGTATAGTTATTTGAAAGTGGATTTTGATTGGTCATTAATGTATATTGCAAACTCTAGGGTAACCACTAAAAAATATCTTTTTAAAAAGGAATTATAATATGTTAAGAAAGGAAAGAAATGAAATCATGTAAAATGCTTAAAATCAAGGAAGGAAGAAAATGAGTAGAAGCAAAAAAAAGGACAACAAATAGAAAATACATACAAATATAGTAGACATTATTTCAACTAGATCAATAATCCCTTTAAATGCAAATGTTCAAATACACCAATTAAATGATGGAGATTGTCGGAGTAGATTTTTTTTTAAAAAAAGACTCAACTATATGTTGTCTAAAGGAAACTCATTTTGAAGATCCAGATAGAATAAAAGTAGAGATGAAAAAACATATATCATGCTAACCCTGACCAAATAAAGCTGAACTACATATATTAATTTTGGACAAAGCAAAGTAAGTATGATAAAGGCTCCTATTAGATTATGTTATAGACTTTCATAGAATATTTAGAATCCTAATCTTGAAAATTCTTGTGGGTTTTATATAAAGATTTTTCTCCTAACCCCACTTTGTCCTAATAGAATTTTTTTTTGTCTGCTTACTTAAAAGTATTTTTTAGACTTCAAGTTACAATACAGAAGTCCCAGAGGGTATATACTGATTCCCCAGTATATGGCATGATTCAATTTTTAAACTAGTCGGGTTTATGACTTCAGGAAATTTTCCAAAGCACTTCAATCCTTGTCCTACCTGGTAAGTAGCTAATCTAGGATTAACAAGAAGGAATGGGGTCATACTGCTACCAGGGAGTAGCCATCACATGGCTAGAGTCATTCCCCAGAATCTGAAGTTGGCTCTAAGCTTTTAATCTGGGTACCTCAGTTAACCACATTCAGCTGATGGACAGAAAGTATCAGCTGGTTACAGATAAGTCAGATCAAGGATGGATCCAGGTTTTGTAGGGCCTAAAACCTTTTACAATCTTGAAGGCCCTAAGAAAAATAACACAAAATTTCAAATATAAAACTAGGGTACAAAAATAAATCAGAAAAGGATCATAACAAATACAAATTTTTAAAAGCTGGCAGATGCCACAAACATGACAAATATTCAGAAAATAGCATAACATTTTCACGAATTAACTTTGTGACAAATATCTATGATATTTTCTTCTCATTTTTGACTGCTCATACTTCAATCACCTCTTCATATAGAGTCAAGCATCTCATAACATTTAAATCAACCAGGGACCACGTATATGATGGTGATCCCATAAGATTATAATATCATTTTTACTGTATCTTTTCTAGGCTTAGATATGTTTAAATATACAAATACCATTTTGTTACAATTGCCTACAGTATTCAATACAGTAACAAGCTGTACAGATTTACAGCCTAGGAGCAACAGGCTACACCATATAGCCTAGGTGTATAGTGGCGATATCATCTAGGTTTGTGTAAGCATAATCTATGATGTCCTCACAATAAAGAAATTGCCCAATGACACATTTCTGAGAATGCATCACTGTTGTTAAACAATGCATGATTATAATAATTTTATAAAAATAATTTTCCATTAAGAAGATTTTAAATATCTCACTCAACTTCAGTTGTTTAAGTTTTCCTTTTATTATCAATAGTTTAGAAAAGGCTCAGCATCACAACTCAATATTGGTAGATGTCACATATACATATAGGATTGCCAAAGATAGAAAAACCTTTCTTTTATGTTCATTAATGTGTGTGTGTGTGTGTGTATTTTAATTTTATTTCAATAGTTTTTGATGTACAGGTGGTTTTTTGTTACACGGATAATTTCTTTAGCAGTGATTTCTGAGATTTTTGGTGCACCTGTCACCTGAGCAGTATACACTGTACCCAAAATACAGTCTTTTATCCCTCACCCCCACATCTTCCCCCCAACAAGCTCCCAAAGACTATTGTATCATTCTTATGCCTTTGTATCCTCATAGCTTAGCTCCTAACTTATAAGTGAGAAGATACGAGATTTGGTTGGAAAAACCTCTCTTAAGTTTCTTTCATATCAAAGCTGTAAAATTTCAGAGCAATTAAGTTTTCTTGTATATTTAAATCTTCTTTTAAGTGATAACCCCATAACTAACTACCCTACTCTGGGGGCAGCATAGCTCTGGTAGGAATATTCCTGGAATCCTTTCCTAAACTGGGATGGCTGGCAGTAATTTAACTATCCATGGAACGAACAGATATCACAAAAATGTAGCTAACTAAACACAAACTAAAATGTCCTTAATTCAACTTCTCCTTAGAGAATTCCTTAAAATGTCCAAGGGCCACTGGGGACAGCCGATCACTGGGAAGAAGGGAGTAGGAAATGAACAATGACAATTAAAAGTATTTTTTGCAAATTTTGTAGAACATACACCCCGTGAACACATTGTTAGGCCCCCTCTCAGGGCCTTGGATAGGCCTGAAACTTAAGCTTAATGGTATATCTACCTCTAGATCAGAATTCAGCATAAAGTTGCCTCAAGAAAGCAGAATAATGTGGACATACGTTTCTGTGTGGCCAAGAAGCTGAAGATGACATCGAGGATGTTACTACTTTATATCCACTTACATGGGAATACCTTCAAATCCTTTAAAACACCCAAGTTTACATATTTTTTCTCATTTTTTATTTTCCTATTTATAATCCCTCCAAACTCTTCCCTGTGGAGTCTTACAATCCCCCCACTCCTCTTCACGTTTAGTAGAGTAGAACAATGAGTTTTGTTTTTGTTTTAAATGCAGACTGTTGATTTCCAACTAAGGATGGGGGGAAAGTGAAAACAATGGAAATAAAAGGTCAAAGAATCCCTCAGGTAAGTCACAAAGCTATTTATATATTTTTTCAACTTCATGTCTAAGAATTGGCTGAAAAGTGACAATTCAGAACGGTTGAGTGAGAAAGAATGAAAAAAATCACAATTCTGTGACATAACTCGGGCTCCACACCCCGCCGGTCAATGATTTACAGAATTAGATACCAACCCAGAGAGGGAGAAATTAGCCAAGACTGGCACTGAAAAAGGCAAGACTGCACAGTGAGAGGAAATGGGACAGATAGGACCAATAAAGTAGGAGAATTTCCAGGGATGGTTACAGATCACGACTCCACACTTGGTCACTGCACAGATCCTGGATGAACCACAGGAAGGAAGGGAACAGAAAAAGGCCCAGTTGGAACCCTCTGTGGTGTGAATCAACAGGAAGAAACTCCAGGCACAAGAGTCAAGGCCCTAACTTTCATCTGAAAATGATGCTTTCGTGGAAAAAGAGGCAGCAAAGCAAAAAAACAATCTCCTCTCAAGAATGACTACATTAGCATGCTGACACAAGAACAAATACCCTTGCCACAAAGAAATAAACTACAATGGTGCCTTCCATAGGGATTGGTTCCAGGAACCCCCTTAGATACCAATATCTGCAGATGCTCAAGTCCCTGATATAAAGTGGCATAGTATTTGCACATAACCTATGCACATCCTCCTATAAATCATCTCTAGATTATTAGTAATACCTACTACAATGTAAATACTACGTAAATAGTTCTTATACTGTATTTTTACTTATTTTTGTTTTATCATTTTTTAATTTTTTCTGCCCTCCCACCCCAGAATATTTTTTCTTCTTTGTTGGTTGAATCTGCTGATGCAGAACCCATGGATACAGAGGCCAAGTGTAACTAAAATCCAACGAAAAAATGCCCAACATTTCACTGTTTTTTTTTTTAAGATTGAAAAATAAATTCACCTTCCCCAACCTGTTTTAAAAAATACTTTATATCCTTAAGGAGCTCTGAACTTACATATACACCAGAGATTTCCCATAGATACACAATCTATCATTTACATAGTTTATGAGAAAAAAAGATATTTAATAGTTAAAAAGGCAAGAAAAGAAAGGCAAGATTTAAATGTAGTGGTAACAAATGTTTTTTGTGGTAATAAATGCTTTTTTCTTCCTCCCAGCTTTGTGGAAGTGTGGAGATTCACATTCAAAATGAAGAATTGTTTCGTGAAATAATTTGCAGAGGCTCAATCAAGAGAAATGAAATTACTTAAAGAGCAATTTCAACATAGTGAAAGCCTGCTAGGGAGGTAGATGCAGGTTTCTTAGTCATCAAATGCCATGCTGACCCAGATTCAGGGCAGAGTGAGCACCAAGCATTTTGAAAGCTGATCGAATGGAGAGTCTATTTTAATTTTTTTAAGCTGCCATTTCTTTAAAAAAAAAAAAAAAAGAAAGAAAGAAAGCCCCAGGGCATGCAAAGAGTAAAATATACTGATCATTAAAATATTTAAATTCACCAACAGCAGTGGTTAATAAAACATCAAAATGAAAGTTTACAAAAATTAGTCTCAACTTGTTTAAAGTAGCACACTCACCCAGCCAGCTCATTCTTCTCAACCTCTTTCACTCCTCACCCTCCAAACTTCAGGGGAACACAGTTCCCCAAAGTTTTGGGGAACTTTCCCAAAAAGTTTCCTGCAATTCAACAAAAATGTGTAAGTCACTCCACAAAAGACACTCTAAGGTTAGAAGGATGATCCCATAGAATGTTTGCTCTCTGTAGATATTTAATTAATGATGGACATATTAAACTCTGACTTGTACCATTTATTTGTCTCCAAATTCTATAGAGTAGGGTCATAAACTAGGGAAATGGGCCAAACATAGTCTTCAGGAGAATTTTTGTTTTGTCTCCCCATCTCTTCAAAAAACATTTGAATTATTTACCAATATTTTTCAAACTAAGAGATCTCTCACATACACACACACACACACACACACACTCACACTCACATTAGTTTGGGCTTAATGACTAGAACATAGTGGTAGTTACCTATTAGATAAGGAGCTCAAAAACTCACCATAATCTTAATAGGTTTTTTACACTCAACCACCTCCCTTATTTAAGGAACCAGGCTGGCTCATGCACATATTTTAGTTTGGAAAGCCAACCTAATTGTCCTATAGAACTGATATTTACAGGCTTTTTCTTCCCAATAATAAACATAGAGAGTGTACCTCCCTGGTCTTAAAACTTGAAACTTACATTTGTCTCAGTTGAGCTCTATCCTCAGGAAACTGACCCTCAGGAAAGGAACTGGAACTCACATTACTGCATCTAGTAATGCCTGATCCCTCACCCATCATGACTGCTTCTTTACCCTTCCCTGATTATTGTTTTCCCACCTTCCCTGCTATATAACCGCCCCCCTCCCAAATTTAGTCCACTGGAGAGAAGGTTAGAGATTGTATCTTTTGTTCTCCTTGGCTGCAGCACCAGACTAAAGCCTTCTCTGGCAATACTTTTTGACTCAGTTATGGGCTTTCTATTCTGTGAGCAGCAAGACCTAGACCAAAACCCCTGGCTTTTTAGTAACTTTTGCAACCTGTGCTATAAAGAGGAAACAAAATGCAATGGGAATACACATAATCAACAGGCAAGTGGTGGGCAGGAAAAAAAATGGGCCATCTCATGGAAGAGCAGCACACGAGAAAGACATTGACAGACAGGCAAGATTTTACAGGTAGAAATGATGGAAAATGTCATTCCTAAAGGAGACAACCGCATCAGCCACATGACAAAGATAGGAAAGGGCAAAGAATGGACAGCATGTCTGGTAGCCTGGTATGATTTCATGACCCATATATAAGATGAAAAATAGGAAGGCTGACATGGCAGGCAGCAACCACAGAATGAAATGCCTCAACCACAATTGGTAGTCTAAGTTTTAGAGTATAGAAGCTTTGAAATCAGAGCTGTTCTTTAGGATAACTTTGCTATTAAATTCTAATAACCTGTAAGAACCCTTGAGTTACTGTGACAACTATCCCAAACAGCAGACTCATTATCCTTAATCATATTCTGTGTCCCTTCTGCAGTATGAACTCACCAATAACATCACATTCAACTGACAGTTTAGAACACAAGAAACTGCCTTCCTTCAGGGTGAAGATAGAATATGGATGTGGCAAGGTGTTGAAGATCAGGGTCTTCTTATCAAAGCCTCCCATAGCTATATGCTCTTGGGCATTTTCTGTAAAATATTAATGATAATAACCTTCTTCCTAAGGTCATTGTTACAATTAAATAAAACAAATGGTATAGTATTTTAAAACACTTTGCAAACAACACAATGTAGTGCAAATAGAAGTTATTATTATTATAGACATATGGGGCTGGTCAGATTCTAGCCCCTTTCTAGGGCAGTTCTTTGCCTTCTGTGTTCTGCAATCTACCTCTTACTATCTATCTCTTACTTTCAACCCAAGCCAGGGCCCTTTTATTCTATTAATATGGCCTTTGAAGGGTCGTATTAAATTGGTTCTCGTGATGACATCCCAGTTTTTAGTCCTAATTGTTGTTCTCAAGTGGTGTTTCTGTAATAGAAACACCCATTTTCTGGGGAGAAATTCAAATCTTCCCTGCAAAGACCTACATATTGACTCAAAATCATCCTTTACAAGCTTTGAATATAACTTAAAATGCAGTTTTTCTTTTATCAACATGATGGCTTTATCAGCATAATTATTGATATTAATAATACCAACTTTCTCTAACTTATATTCATATACCCAAAGTAAAATGCTGGGTAAAATTTGTCTAAATAGAAACACTAAAGACCTTAAAAATACAGTGAGATACCTCAGGCCAATTTTGGGGGGAAGAAAGTCTGTAAGAAGAGAGGTAAGGTAAAGATCAGAACACCAGAGCTGCATTTTCCCTTAGGGCAGTTGCTGATACCACAAACACTGTGTTCAAGTAGAGAGCATTAGCCACATGTGGCTAGAGATTTAGAGTTCAAGGGTGATATGGTTTGGCTGTGTCCCCAACCAAATCTCATCTTGAATTATAGTTCCCATAATCCCCATATGTCGTGAGAGGGACTCAGTGGGAGGTAATTGAATCATGAGGGCAGTTACCCTTATGCTGTTCTTGTGAGTGAGTTCTCAGGACATCTGATAGTTTTATGAAGGGCTTTTCCCTCTTTGCTCAGCACTTCTCCTTGCTGCTGCCATATGAAGAAGGATGTGTTTGCTTCCCCATCTGCCATGATTGTAAGTTTCCTGAGGCCTCTCCAGCCATGCTGAACTGTGAGTCAATTAAACTTCTTTCCTTTATTAATTACCCAGTCTTGGGTATATCTTTATTAGCAGTGTATGAAGAGATTAATACAGTAAATTGGTACTGGTAGAGTAGGGGGCTGCTGTAAAGATAACCAAAAATATGGAAGCAACTTTGGAACTAGGTAACAGGCAGAGGTTGGAGCAGTCTGGTAGACTCAGAAGAAGACAGAAAAATGTGAGAAAGTTTGGAACTTTCTAGAGACTTGGAAGGTTCAGAAGACAGGAATATGTGGGAAAGTTTGAAACTTCCTAAAGACTTGTTAAATAGCGTTGACCAAAATGCTGACAGTGAAATGGACAATAAAGTCCAGGCTGAGGTGCTCTTAGATGGGAGATGAAGAGCTTTTTGGGAACTAGAGTAAAGGTCACTCTTGCTATGCAAAGAGACTAGCAGCATTTTGCCCCTGCCCTAGAGATCTGTGGAACTTTGAACTTGAGAGAGATGATTTAGGGTATCTGGTAGAAGAAATTTCTAAGCAGCAAAATGTTCAAGAGGAAGTAGAGCATAAAAGTTTGAAAATTTTGCAGGCTGACAAGGTAGTAGAAAAGAAACACCCATTTTCTGGGGAGAAATTCAAGCCAGCAGTAAAAATTTGCAAAAGTAATGAGGGACCAAATGTTAATTTCCAAGAAAATGGGGAAAATGTCTCTAGAGCATTTTGGAAATCTTCCTGGCAGCTCCTCCCATCACAGGCCTGGAGGCCTAGGAGGGAAAAATGGTTTCCTGGGAAGGATCCAGGGACCTCTGCCATGTGCAGCCTCAGGACTTGGTGCCCTGCATCTGAGGTGCTCCATCTGTGGCTAAAAGGGACCAAGGCACAACTTGAGCCGTGGCTTCAGAGGTTACAAGCCCCAAGACTTGGTGGCTTCCATGTGGTGTTTAGTCTGCAGGTGCACAGAAGTCAAAAACTGAGGTTTGGGAACCTCCGCCTAGAGTTGAGAGGATATATGGAAATGCCTGGATGTTCAGGAAAAAGTTTGCTGCATGGACAGAGTCCTCATGAAGAACCTCTGCTAGGGCAGTGTAGAAGGGAAATGTAGGGTGGGAGCCCCCATACAGAGTCCCCACTGGGGCACTGTATAGTGGAGTTGTGAGAAGAGGGTCATTGTCTTCCAGACCCCCAAATGGTAGATCCACCAACAGCTTATACTGTGCACCTGGAAAAGCCATAGATACTCAACACCAGCTGTGAAAGCAACTGGGGTAAGGGGGCTGTACTCTACAATGCCACAGGGGTAGAGCTGCTGCTCAAGGCTGTGGGAGCCCACCCATTGCATCAATGTGCCCTGGATATGAGACATGGAGTCAAAGGAGATCATTTTAGAACTCTAAGGTTCAATGACGGCCTTATTGGATTTTGGACTTGCATGAGCCCTATAAGGCCCTTTGTTTTGGCAAATTTCTCTCACTTGGAATGGCTATATTTACCCAATGCCTATACCACCATTGTATCTAGGAAGTAACTAACTTGCTTTTGATTTTACAGACTCATAGGTAGAAGGTACTTGCCTTGCCTCAGATGAGACTTTGGACTTGGACTTTTGAGTTAATGCTGGAATTAGTTAAGACTTTGAAGTATTGTTGAAAGGGTGTGATTCTGTTTTGAAATGAGAGGACATGAGGTTTGGGAGGGGCCGGGGTGGCATGATATGGTTTGGCCGTGTCCCCAACCAAATCTTGAACTGTGGTTCCCATAATCCCCACATCATGGGAGGGACCCAGTGGGAGGTAATTTAATCACGAGGGTGGTTACCCTCATGCTGTTCTTGTGATAGTGAGTTCTCACAAGATCTAACGGTTTTATAAAGGACTTCCCCCTTTGCTTGGCTCTCATTCTTCTACTTGTTGCTGCCACGTGAAGAAGGGTGTGTTTGCTTCCCCTTCCACATGATTGTAAGTTTCCTGAGACCTCCCCAGCCATGCTGAACTGTGAGTCCGTTAAACCTCTTTCCTTTACAAATTACCCACTCTCGGGTGTATCTTTATTAGCAGCATGAGAACACAGTAATACAAGAGGAGCTTTGTGAAACCATCCTGATAGAGAGCTGGGGCCCCAGGTGTCACTCTATCAAGGTAAGGGTAAACTAGCTCTAAACAGTTCCTCTTCTTTCCCCAACCAGTGAAAATTCAGAGAGGGCTGCCTCCGTGGCAGACCAGAAATGGAGAAGAAAAGTGAAAGGCAAACATAAATCATACCTAGTAGCTGCCCACTTGCCCTTAAGAGGTGTTCAATGGGCCGGGTGTGTTCGCTCACGCCTATAATCCCAGCACTTTGAGAGGCCGAGGCAGGCAGATCATCTGAAGTTGGGAGTTCATGACCAGCCTGACCAACATGGAGAAACCCCGTCTCTCCTAAAAATACAAAATTAGCTGGGCGTGGTGGCACATGCCTGTAATCCCAGGTATTCAGGAAGGCTGAGGCAGGAGAATGATTTGAACCCAGGAGGCAGAGGTTGCAGTGAGCCGAGATTGTGCCACTGCACTCCAGCCTAGACAATAAGAGTGAAACTCGGTCTGAAAAAAAAATAAAATAAAAAATAAATAAAAAATAAAGGGTGTTCAATGATCCTGGGTATCCTATGCATAGGCTGCATGGGCAAGAGACTCTTCAACCCTGAATTGGTCCACAGCAGTTCATTCTGGAGATGTCTATCAATGTCTAGCAGAAACAAACACAAAGCTTCTCTATTCTCACAAATAATTTTTCAAGAATATCCAGGGGCTGTCATATATTACCATTTACACAAGAAAACAAGACTGCACAAGCATGAATAAAGCCACAGACAGAAAAAAACAGACCTACAATGATTTCATATATTTGAACTATCAGTCTAATAGGGGATGACAAGCATGCACACAACTAAAATTCAAAATAGAACAACATTCAAAATGAGAGAAGAATGGAGTGTCACTAAGAATACGTGAATATTGCCTTGCATGCAGGAGGGTTCAGCGTTATAGTTAAAGCTCTGCCATTTGCAATATTTCAGGAAAAGCAGGAGGCTAAGAAGCCATCTGGCATTTAAAATACAGCATTGAGCCAGGTGGAGCCATGGGAAAGGGTTATAACCTTGTCACTTGCTAGTGTTACATCTTTGAGTCACAGTTTTCTCATCTGAAAAAGGGACAATGACTATTTCAAATAAAAATATGAAACTTAAATCAGTCAGCTCATGTAAAAACCTGACATATTGCCAGTGTTTAATAACATCAGCTCGTTTAGTAGAATTGTTCGGGCAAGAGTAAAATCACAGGGATCTTACTGCTATAACATAGGATGCTGTTTTAAAAAGTAGGGCAAAATAGATTTTCCTACCCAACCATAAAATCTCACCCAACTTCTGTAGCCTAAAAAGGGCACACTCAAGCCAGCAGCCAAGTTATAAGGGAAACACAGGAAAATATTTTAGCTCCCAAATGCAGATCTCAGAAACTCAGCACAGACCAATTTCCTGTTGTATAGCATTAGATCTGAAGAAAAAAAAACAGTCTATAGGAAGGATAATCTGAAGCTATCCCAGCAAGACTAAAGTCTCTTGCAATTTCAAATGGCCAAGAAACTTACAAAGCACAGAGACAAGAGTAATCCAAACTGATTATCCCAGGGGCCCCTGTTCTTTTGGAGACCAGGTCCTCTTCCCAACTGTAGTACCCAATCAAGTAAGCAGAGTCAACATGGCTACAGGGTTCTTTACACCTGTGGTCACCATCTACATGATGAGAAAGAGTGAGCTACAATCAAGGTAACAGAGACTGAGCCATTTCTAGCTGGTGCCCTTATAAATATGCTTCAGTTGTCCAGAATAATTGCTTCCAATAAAGGCCAAGCAGACAATTCTGACAGGGATGTCCTTATGAGTTTTTGCTGCTTGTAAACCTGTCAGAATAGACGCCTCCTTGTATTTCCATCTTTCAACCAAGCTAACAAGTCAGGTTATCTTTTAGGAAATCATTTCATATGTTTTATTCAAAGCCAAGTTTGAAAGCTAGATGAACCCCCAGTGACTGATGGTTTTAATTAGACTGGTTTCATGATTTCCTTCCATGACACAGGGATTCACCATCTCTTTTACAGCTCTCTCTCACCCAAAACTACTTCTCCTTTTGTATTCCCTAACTTGTTAAAAGCTAACACTATTTATCTGGTGGTGCTGGAACCTGAGAGTTATCTTCTAATAGTTCCTGTTCTAAAATACCCACAACTAACTGGCTACCTCTCCTAACAACACTACTTTCTAAAAGTCTCTAATCTGTGACTTTATTTTCATTTGCATGATCACTGCCCATTCAGGCTCTCAGCAGTGCTCACCTGGAATAAATACAAAAACGTCAGCTGGGCACGGTGGCTCACACCTGTAATCCCAGCACTTTGGGAGGCTGAGGTGGGCAGATCACCTGAGGTTGGGAGTTCAAGACCAGCCTGACCAACATGGAGAAACCCCATCTCTACTAAAAATACAAAAAAAAAAAAAAAATAGCCAGGCATGGTGGCACATGCCTGTAATCCCAGCTATTTGGGAGGCTGAGGCAGGAGAATCACTTGAACCCAGGAGGCGGAGGTTGCAGTGAGCCAAGATCATGCCATTGCACTCCAGCCTGGGTAACAAGAGCGAAACTCTGTCTCAAAAAAAAAAAAATCTCACTAGTGTCCCACCCTTCAGCCTCACCCTATTAGAACCACCACCTTCCTCCCAAAAAAACTGATCATTAGAAAATGCAGATTTGATCAAGTCACTCTATTTTTTGATATAATTCACTGGATCACTATTACATCTAAGAAGTAATCCAAGCTCTTCAGTATTTTAGCCAAGACCTTGCACCCTATCATTCTGTCTTTGCAGATCCTACAGGTGTTCAGGCTATAAAGAACCACTTGCCAATCAGTGATGATGCCAAGATCTGTCACCCCCCAAATCTGTGTGGTTCGTCTCCTTGGAAAGCTTTTCTACATATCCTCCTTCTCATTCTCCACTAATTCATCTGGTTAATATCTACCCATCTTTCATAACTCAACTCAAACATCAAATCATTAGAATGCTTTTTGCCATTTCCCTTTCACACTCAGGTAGAATTGATTTGAAAGCTAGATGAGCTCCCAAGGACCTACTGTTTCAATTAGGCATTATGTTTTTTTATTCTATAACCAAGTGTTTGTCAACCTCAGTACTATTGACATTTGAGGCTGGATAATTCTTTGCCATAGGGCACCGTTCTGTAGGATGTTTAGCAAATTTCCTGGCCTCTACCCATTAGTTGCCAGTACCACAGTTCCCCAGTTCTGACAACCAAAACTGTCTCCGGACACTGCCAAATGTCCTCTATGGGGCAAGTCAATCCTTGTTGAAAATCACTGCTAGAGTACTATATTAACATCATTTCACAGCTCTGTTTTGTAGCATATTTGACCATTTCACCACTGAAAAGAATTTTTTTTTTTTTTTTTTTTTTTTTTTTTTTTTTTTTGAGACGGAGTCTCGCTCTGTCGCCCAGGTCGGACTGCGGACTGCAGTGGCGCAATCTCGGCTCACTGCAAGCTCCGCTTCCCGGGTTCACGCCATTCTCCTGCCTCAGCCTCCCGAGTAGCTGGGACTACAGGCGCCCGCCACCGCGCCCAGCTAATTTTTTGTATTTTTAGTAGAGACGGGGTTTCACCTTGTTAGCCAGGATGGTCTCGATCTCCTGACCTCATGATCCACCCGCCTCGGCCTCCCAAAGTGCTGGGATTACAGGTGTGAGCCACCGCGCCCGGCCCACTGAAAAGAATTTTTGTTGGCAGAAGCTATCTTTTTCTCATCAGTGTAATCCAGTGCCTACAACAGTGTCCATCACATAAAAGATGAGTGATAAATATTTATTGAATGAATAAAAGTAAATGAATTATCAAACATTAAGTAAGCATCATGTGGAATGGCTCTACATTCTCAAACATACTTCCAGGAAATCCCAGGGTATAAAACATGCCATTATGTGTCAAGAAAATAGTCTGTAACTGAGAATTCTCAGCTTTTAGAATTACATATAGAATCAAAATGGATTTTAGGAATGAATGAGTTCCACCACAAATTTAAGAGGCACACACAGATAAAGTGACTTTGCATATGCCACACAGCATATATGCAATAGAAAGTCATCCTGAGGCCAGGCACAGTGGCTCACACCTGTAATCCCAGCACACTGTGAGGCTGAGGCAGGTGGATCACCTGAGATCAGGAGTTTGAGACCAGCCTGGCCAACATGGTAAAACCCCATCTCTGCTAAAAATACACAAAATTAGCTGGGCGTGGTGGCAGGCACCTGTAACCCCAGCTACTTGGGAAGCTGAGCCAGGACGCAGAGGTCGCAGTGAGCTGAGATCACACCATTGCACTCCAGCCTGGGCAACAAGAGTGAAACTCCATTAAAAAAAAAAAAAAAAGAAAAAAAAAAAAGAAAAGAAAGAAAGAAAGTCATCCTGTAGCAGTTCTCTTTAATCTATCCTGACAGTGTAGCTGAGACTTCTGTATGATAATTTTGAGATGTTTTATCTTGCATAAAACCTTAGCTGATACATTGAGGCCTATCACTTTTCACTGGTAACTCTACAAGCTATTTATAATAGCCCCATTCCAAACCATCTTCTCCCAAGCTCTTTGCCCCAGCAGCATGTTCTGGTTTCAACATAATACTCAACGATACTGGAGATGAGAGGCAGGCTCTGAATATGACACTTCAAGACACTGGTACTCAGCCAGAGGAAAATAAGCCAATCTAAACAAAGCTGTAAAATGCCCATTAGACTGGAGATTTCTACCCCCACATCCATAACAATGATATTCTGCCCTGAGCAGCTCACTTATCACTGCATGCTGTAAGAGCAGCTCCATTTCTGCCCTTCTAGTACCCAGCACTGCAAACCAAAGCCAAGCTGTAAGAGTGATATACTTTTAAACTTCAAATGGACAGGTAGAACCATTAGGCATTTTCAAGACCATACAATTCATATTCTGATAGCCATGGGGATGAGGTAACCTTAGTATTCACAAAGTGCTGAGAACAGAGCCGCTTAACTGAGAGAGTGGCCCGCTGAACAGTGACCTCTTTTATTTCATCCTCTGGTATAAAAGCATCCTACCCAGTGTGCTAGCAAAAAAGACGGAGATTGTCTTTCATTTTTGCTTATACAAGCTCCCTGAAATGAAAGGAGAGGGGATTTTGTTACCTAGAGGGCTTGACTGCAATTAGGTAATATATTTCCTCCTCTTCATTTCTGGGAGACAGAAAAAAAAATTAAGGCTGTAGAAGTCCATGTGCTTTTTGAAAGAAGATAACATAAGGAAGTACGGAGCTCAAGGAGATTTCCAGACATTGCTTGGGTTAGTGATGATGAAGATAAAAGCAGGTGATGCAGAACTTTTCAAATCACCTGGATTTTGTTCAATTCCTGAAACAGGCTTCAAGGCCTAGCTGAGGCGAAGCTGCCTTCATCAGAACTCCAGAAAGGTCTGAAAAAAATTCACCAATTGCTATTGCAGTCATTTTACCAATAAAGAGTCAAATAGAACTCGGAAACATGCATGGCACCGTATTTCCAAAACACTTCCTTTGCTCAAACACTTCCCATTCTCCTAACATTAACCCTTGATGTTCTAAAGCCAGCTCTAATTGAAGTGAGAACCCCATCTGTGATGCATTAGTATGTAACACATCTTCATAACTTTGTATTTGAAAAATCCTTGGAACCATGTGTCTTTAGAGGCAATCCTACTGATGCAGGAAATTAACACCTTAAAGATGCTCATATAGGTAGACAAAGTTCTCTTAGACGTTCTTCTTCTTTGGATTTGTCACGCATTTATCATTCTATTTTCAGCTCTCTTTCCTTGACGGGCTTCTTCTAATGCTCATATTCTTGCTAAAATGAAGACAACAAATTGTGATGTGTGCTTGTTATATAACTGGATATATAAGATCCTTCAGTAGCATGTCTGATTTAAGCTCAGATCTTAAAGAATTACAAAGCTCAGGTAATTATGTTTTGCAATGCCCGTGAGAAAGGAGTTACTAACCTTGTTCTAGGGCTTGGGATCTGAAGAGCAGCAATTCTTTGTTTGTATGCTTGCAAGGATTTTATTTATTGTTTATGTACTAACAGTGTGTAAATAGTCATAAATTATTATTTCCCTCTTATCTTTAGCAAGATTATTTCCTTTTTTCCAAAGTGATCCTAAGTATTACTTTAGAGTTCATATTATCTACATCTCTAAATGGCATTTATGATATTAACATGTTGAATATGCCACACAGCATATATGCAATAGAAAGTCATCCTGAGTCTCCCACTGACCTTGACGAAGCTACTTGCTTACTACCTTAATAATTTATTTGTATATAAGGTAATGGATGCCTCGTTCTTTAGAAATCTCCATTATAGGACATGACTATCTTTGCTTTAATGGAGAATTTCAAATCTTAGCTACAGATACAAGCAGAATGAGAGAAGTTTTGAGACAGAGCAAGGTCAGGAGTTCAATTTAACTTATCAAGGGTCTCCTTCTCCAACTTTGCTTCCTCTTTCAGCCCTCATCTCTTCCAACTCCAAATATTCCCAGGACCTCTGTTATTATCTATCCACTGGTAAATACCAAATGTATATCTCAAGCCCAGATCTCTTGCTTTTAAATACAAGCTTCTCCATCACCAACAGGTACTTCAAACTTAGCATATGTAAAACTAAATTCATCTGCCCTTTGGCTTACAGACGTTCTGTGCTCTGTAGCTCAGGGAAGGACATATTATTCCAGTCCATTGTCCAAAGAAGACAGAAAGTCATCTTTAATTCATTCTCTCCCTCACTCCACACCCAACCAATCACAAGTCAATTCTCCCTCTTAGGCATTTCTCAAATATGTCCTCTGTTTCTACTGCCATTATTTAAGTTCAAACCACCATCATCTCTTGCGTTGCATGCGAACTGGTTTCCCTTCCTTCACCCTGACCACTTCTAATTCAGCCTTCACATTATTTCCAGGGCAGTCTTCCTAAAAGGCAAATCTAATCTACCTTTGCTTTGCTTCAAACTCAATTACTCCCCTTGCTCTCTCGATAAAGTTTAACAATTTGGCCCTCATTTTCCCTCCCTCCCTCAAGCATCATCACCCCCCATTTTTAACTCCATGCCCCAAACATATTGTACAACTTGTAGTTCACCAAAAGGCCATACTTCCTCTTTCTCAGGGCCACTGACAACTGCTCCCTTTACCTAGAAAGCACTCTCTTGCTGCCCTCTCCCTTACCTAGACAATGACAAATCATTCTTCAGGTGTCCACTCGAGCTTTATCTCCTACAAAGGCATTTCCAGGCCACCAATTTTCCCTTCCACCCTTACCTCCAGAGCTGGATGATCTAGCGTCCCTCTGGAGTCTACTCCATTGCAGCATTTTTCACTGTCTAATAACAATTTAGGGAAAGCTCATTATGTGCCAAACCCTGAGCTGATGCCTACATGAGTTATATCAGAGGTTCCCAACTAAAGGCTTATGGGCCAAATATAACATACAGGTATTTTCTTTGAGTTAAAAGGATTTAATATTAAACGTAAATTTTTTAATCAGGATATTTCTGACAAAACACTCCTAGATTTACAGCATTAAAAAAAAAAAAACTATCAAATCTGGTAGCCCTGAATTCACATTTCTGAACACACCAACACTAAGACACACCTGAATCATGACTACTCCTCTTAGTGGCTGTATTAGTTTGCTAGGGCTTCCATAACTAAAACCACAGACTGGGTGTCTTAAACTATAGAAATTTACTTTCTCACAGTTTTAGAGGCTGGGACTACAAGATCAAGGCGTCAGCAGGTTTGGTTTCTTCTGAGGCTTACTCTTATTGGCTTGTAGATGGCTGCCTTCTCACAGTATCCTCACATTGTCTCAAAAAATAAATAAATAAATAAAAGACAGAGTCTCACTCTGTCACAGCCTGGAGTGCAGTGGCACGATCTCGGCTCACTGCAACCTCCATCTCCCAGGTTCAAGCGATTCTTCTGCCTCAGCCTCCCAAGTAGCTGGGACTACAGTTACACGCCACTATGCCCAGCTAATTTTTGTATTTTTAGTAGAGACCAGGTTTCACCATGTTGGCCAGGATGGTCTCAGTCTCTTGACCTCATGATCTACCTGCTTCAGCCTGCCAGTGTGCTGGGATTACAGGCATACGCCACCACACCCAGCTACATTGTCTTTCATCTGTGCACACACATGCATCCCTGGTGTCTGTGTGTTCAAATTTCCCTTTCTTATAAGGACAGCAATCAGATGAAATTGGGGCGTTATCCTCTCACTTTTATTTGTCAAACCTTCTGTGAAATTCTTTCACTCTTTGTTGAAGCAAGTTCTCTGACTCCAAGTCCTAAGCTCCTAATAAATTACACTACCTTTCATCATGCTGTTTGAATAGTTTTATATTTGTCTACTCCTAAATTTGAGTATCCCTTAAAAACAGGGACTTGCCCTTATTCATCACAGTAGCCTTAGGACCACAATGAAGCTTCAATGGTAAAGACAGAAAGCTCTGGGACAAGATCGCTAGAGTCTGAATCATGGCTCTCCTCCCTCCTAACTGGTGGCTTTTGATAACTTATTTAATTTTTTTGTATTTCCTCTATAAAATGGGGATAATAATAATGCCTATCTTCGATGGTGGTTGAGAGAATGGCATGAGTTAACGTATACGAAATACTCAAAACCTAACACATAGTAGTTTCCCAATAGATATCGGCTAGTATTAGTGTTGTAAGGGCCTCTTGTAGAACTGCATCCATTCGTTTAATAAATATTTATTGAACACATACTACAAGCCAGCCACTCCACTGAGCATAAAAATCATAAATAAAACAAATTAAAAAATTGAGAGAGAGGCCAGGCACAGTGGCCCATGCCTATAATCCCAGCACTTTGGGAGGCTGAGGTCAGTGGATCACCTGAGCTCAGGAGTTTGAGACCACCCTGGCCAACATGATGAAACCCCGTCTGTAATAAAAATACAAGAATTTGTCAGGCGTGGTGGCAGGCACCTGTAATCCCAGCTACTCAGGAGGCTGAGGCAGGAGAATTGCTTGAACCCAGGAGGTAGAGGTTGTAGTGACCTGAGATCATGCCACTGCATTCCAGCCTGTCCAGCCTGGGCAATAGAGGGAGACTCCATCTAAAAAAACAAAAAACAAAACAAAAAAAAAAGGACCCTAATGGCAGCTTTGAGTTCAAAAAGCCATGCTTCAAAATATTCACTGAAGCTCCAAAAAGTATTTTCCATATACCTATGGCCCTTAAAACTACCTCAATCACTCACTCATCCTAACCTCAGCATTTGAAAAAAAAAATTGGGACATCCCCTCCAACTTCCCACACCAGGTAGTTCTAAATTTGAATAATTTCTACATAAATTTTTCTTTAGTAAGTCAATGGTACTGTGATGTCAACTTTCTCCTCTCTGGTCTATTTCTAAATAAGGATTCTCAACTCTTTCATATAAATGATTCACCTTTTGCCCATGCAGTTGTTTTTTACTGATGGATCAGGCAAAACAAAAGGCTATGCCCAAAACAAAAGGTGTGAGAATTTCCCATCATTAGCTTGCCTTATGCCTAATCTTAGCCTAGAAATCCTGTTTTTCCTACCAAACTAGAAGTGTCTACTGGGACTAAGTTTCACAACTCTGAGCTGTGACTTCAGCTGACAATCAGATTTTTATCTGGGCCACGTGTTCAGTTGGTTAGAACATGCTGATGGTGAAGCCAAAAGCCAATTCCTGTAGGAACCAGAGCGTTCACCCAGAAAGATCCCTGATGGCATCCTGTCCCCAGCCAGCCATCTCAAATGCCTGCTCCTGGGATCAGAAAGGAGATCAGTGTTGAAGTGAAGCACACTCTCTAAAAAAACAGAAAGCACTAGCTGTGCCATCTTAGTCAGCAATCATAGTAACTATCACTTACGGCAAATTCACTTTGTGCCAGCAACTATGCTAAATGCTTTTCATATATTATTTTATCTTCACAATGCTATGAGGTATTATACTAACTTAAATTTGAGAAAACCAAGACAAGTAATATGCCCAAGGTCACAGCGGCAGAGTGGAGAGTTTATCCCACGTTGGACTTAAGACTCCAGAGCCTGCGTGGCTCACTCCCAACACACTCTGCAATATTGGCACCATAAGGAGGTAGAAAACAAGGCGATCTAGGGTCTTGTCCATTCAGTCTCGGGCATGACAAATTGATTCTGCTATGGGAATACATGAGGATGCCATTGCTTTTGAAATTTTACACAAACCACTCTTTCAGTCTTGATGTCTCTGATCTCATCTTTTCTTCCACATGTAGGTTCTTAATATTATTTTAGGCTTTCTCTGCTTGAAGAACTGGCTGGACATGTTCCCTATTTCAATCTGATATTCTCCCTTTATCTCCACTTCCAGCCAGCCTGGGTCTTTCCTGCATGTTTCACAATCCCATCCTGAGAAGAGATTGGAAAAGTCAATTTTTCTAAATATCAGTTAACTTATCTACTGAGTAAGGGATTTGAACTATATTACCTCTAATGCACCTTTGAGCTCTTATGAATTATCACTCATAAAATGATTAGCAGAATTTTTACTGGAAAAAAGTCTTCCCTTCACTAGAGAGAAGCACACACTCCGAGCCCAGCTCCCAGCTTTTACTTGATCACAGCAGTTGTATAATTGCATACCCACCTGTGAAGCACACAGTGAAAATGAAATTCTAAAAAAAAAAAAAAAAAAAAAAAAGACATCTTAATCCACCAGGATCACTGTCTCTGTTAACCCAAATTGTAAAAACAAACCCTATTGCTATTCTTTAAGATGACTTCTGTCCTGAATGAGCACTCCCTAGGAAGATAAAATGGAATAAAAAATAATGAGGGGAGAGAATCAATTTGGAGCAATTCTACTGTTACATAATTGTATTTAACTAATTTTTTTCTACTCATTATTGCACCTTCAACTCAAAGTTTTCATGCTGAAACAGGAAAAATGCTAGAAAGGATTAATTTCCCCTTGTTCTATTATTGCAGCAATTCTCAACTTGTTATTCTGGATGTCTCAAGAGAGGCAGTATGTTCCAACCATAATCAAGTAAATATAGAATTTGTTGGGGGGTAGGGGGTGTGAGGATATCCACTGTCTGCATAGAGTTCCACCTCACACGTTACTCTAAACTTCAAGTGCATTCTGGGGTCCTATATCTATAAAAGATATCAGAGAGACCTAGAGTCCCCTTGGGAGTGTCTGCACACTTTCCTGCAGACAGGACCTATACCTACCTATTCCTCCAAAATATCTTACAACACGAGTAACAGAAAAACAGCAGATTTATCACTTATCAGCTGAGTGAACGTGTCCAAGGGATGTGCCACCCTGAGCTTAAGTATGTCTTTAGAATGGGAATGATGATAATAAATGTCTCACAGGCTTGGTGTGGGAATCAAATGAGATCATGGTTTGGACCTACTTTGTAGGCAGTAAAGCAGAAAGGTTAAGAATCTGGACTACTGATTCATGCTTCCTAAATTTGATTCCCAGCTCATCCTTTATCAACTCTATATACAATCTTGGGCAATTTTCTTGGACCCTCTAATCCACAGGTTCCTTGTCTAGTGGATGGGAATAATAATAGCAGCACCTATCACATAGGTAGTTGTGAAGATTAAGTGATGGAATACTCTCAATGCCTGGCGTAAAGTAAACGGTCAGTAGGTCAGTACATGTTAACTATTATTAATGCCAGCATGGAATTGGATAATGAGCACTTAAACCTGTATAGTCAGCAGGACTTTTGCAGGAGTTTGTGCATCCTTAGTATGTATATTAAGTGGCAAAAAGGAGAGAAGAAGAGGGAAGAGAGAAAATACATATTTCCTTGAATGGAGAAAAGAGAGAAAAAATCAAAGAGTAATTTTCCCTTAATTGATGTGCTTGTCGAGGACAAAGAAAATAAAAATACTTCTTTTATCTAATGAGGCTCAAGATAGCCAATGTTTGCCATTCATCATTCCCTAACCTGGACCCTGTCTCTCTTAGCTCAGTGGATTTTGTTCACATTTCTTTCTCGTAAACAATCAACTGAGGAAATGCAGATTGAGTCCCTTTGTGAGTATTTAAGGGTGCATCAGGGCCATAAAAACAGAGTGGTTCTATCTATATGGAAATGTAGATTTCAAATATATTCTTTCTAATAATCAAATCATAAGGGAAATGGTCCTCTAATAGGGAGTTAATAAAAGTTGATTCTTAAGGCTGCCTGGAGCTGTAAGCAATAAGGAACAGATGTATAACATGAAGCATTTGTGCTTTCTTCTCTTTTTTCCATTTTCATGATCTATTCCAATAACTAGATGGCCCAAGCTTGTATTAGAAGAAAATAGATTAAGCAATCAGAGTCCTCATTTGATCAACCTGTTGCCCCAACTTCCATACACACACAGTCTTTTAAAAATTCATGTTAAGGGTTTGCCTAAAGATGCCAAATTTACTTCCTTGTTTGACTGGAGTTTTCCCCTTTTGTACAATATGCAAATGTTCCCTGTGGGAGAGTTGATTAGCCATTGATGGTGGGCTTTAATAATGAGGAAACTTATCAGAGCACAAAAACACGAATTTGGCAAAACAAGCTTTTTATATAATACATAGGGGAGGGAAAGGCAGATTTTTTAACCTCTTAATTTGCTAGATGCTTTCCCTGAAAATATGGCATTTTAAACCTAATGTAGCTTAAGGAACTATGCACTGATTACTGCAGAGAAACAGGGGAAAGCAAGCTGGAGAGAGGGAGAGAAATAAAAACACATCCCTGTCTCGAGGGCTACAATGAATTGTTTCCCAAATGAGAAAATATAATAACCAGCCACTCACCTCTGGCTGTGACCAAACACAGATTTTTCCCACTAGTTTATTGTCACACTGATAATAAGGCAAAGAGTACAAGCTGGGACAGGAGAATGCAGGAGATAACTTAGCCTTCCACTCAGCTAATTTTCCTAAATGCTAAGAAAGAACTCCCCCACGAGGTCACATGGATAAAACCTTTTCATCCAGGGAAAAAGACCTTTCCCATTTTTGTTTGTCACCAAGATAAAAACTCTCACCGTACTTAAGGAAGGAAAATATAGCATTACCCACAGGATGATGTCCAGTCTATGTATTTTAACATATGGTGTAACGGGAATACTGTAATCATGAATTTAAATGGCAATGCCCCAAGCTACTGATACCAGAAGGTGAGGCTGGCATAATAGTATGGCGTATGGCATAGAACATTAAGACACTATTATCAATGAGCAAGGAATACATCAATAGATAATAATAGACAGTGATACCTGCAATCAAGAAAGGTTTCACATAAAATACTCATTTGTTTTGCTTAAATAAAATGTTGCTCCTGTGAAATAATTCAGGTACCAAAGAGAACACAGTCATGTCAGTTGGATTATCTTGGGGTTAAATACTGTCCTAAAAAATATTTTGGACTGGCGCGATGCTTTTTTGGTTCTGGTTTTTAATTTTGAATTTAAGCAGGGCCCACGTTCAAATTCCTCACAGGTCCAAGCATTTCTTTCATCTTACCTGTAGCCAAATTCACACATTTGCATGACCTATTGCTTCCTTTGAGATTTAAGTTTGAGACCAGGAGAGAAACAGGCTATAGTTGGATACTTTTTAGAGCACATTTAAGAGTACCTATGTCTTCCATTGAAATCCACTGATGAGAGTGTTGGGGTGAGAGCTTGCTTTCAGCAAGTACACAAGTAAAGATTAAGACGTAGTTAGCAAAGCTTGAAGCAGGCAGTCATGTGAGACCCAAAGATGAGAGTCTAGGCCTTCAAAATGACAGCCACTTATCACACGTGGCTTTGGAGCGCTTGAAATGTGTCGAGTCCAAATTGAGATGGGCTGTAGCAGAAAACACACGCCAGATTTTGAAGATGTAGTACAAAGAAAGTAAAATAGTTTCCCTAATTTTTATACTGATTACATGTTGAAACGATAATGTTTGGAGTATACTGGGCCAAATACAATATATTATTAAAATTTATTCCGCCTATTTTTATTTTTAGCGTGGCTACTAGAAAAGTTAAAGTTACTTTCATGGTTCACATTATATTTCTATTGACAATGCTGGTCCAGAGAAAACCATAACTACTCCTTTAAGTGTATAGACTTGCTAATAATCATCAGAATTTCCTTAGGGAAGAGAAACCAGAGATAGATTGGGAGAAAATAAAAAAGAAAGAAAAGAAAATAGAAACCACAATATACAGCTATTATGGACTAAACTGCACTACCTGCAAAATTCCTGTGTGGAAGTCCTAATACCCAATACCTCAAAATGTGGCTGTATTTGGAGATTGGTCCTTTAAAGAGGTAGTTAAGGTAAAATGCAATCATTTGAGCAAGTCCTAATCCAGTAGGAGTGGAACCCTTGTATTTATAAGAGGAGAATAAGACACAGTGTGTGCCCAAGGAAAATTATCATGTGAGAAGGCGGTCATCTGTAAACCAAAGAATAAACCAGAGGAAACAAGTCCTGTAGACACCTTGATCATCAACTTCCAGCCCCAGACTGTGAGAAAATAAGTTTCTGCTGTTCAAGCCACCCAGCCTGTGGCATTTTGGCACAGCAGCCCAAGTAGAATAGTTTATAGCTTACAATACAAGTGTGTGTAGTAAACCATATATGGCTCATTATGTAGAATAGATTCAGGCATTCTGTATTTAGTATATTGGATCCAGGAATTAGATGGACTCTGCAGGGCTATTTATTAATAATTACACAATCCTAATAATTCATTTAATTCCCATAGAGCACATGCCATCCACATTTCTGTAGGTTCTCTGGATTTTGACCTGGGAAGAGATTTTGGTTTTTGAAACAACCCCCATGATTGCTCTGCAGAAGGAACTTTGGAGGAGAGGGAGTACTGGGCCTTCGTTCAGATGACTGAAGTTTATATCCTGGCCTTCCACTGACTGTGTGACCCAAGACACCTCGGTTAACCGCTTCAAGACTCAGTCTCTTCAAATGGAGAATAAGGATGATAATGCCTGTTCTTTTCACCTAAAAGCTTGGTGTCATGGGTGGAGTTGGATATTGCAGTCACATCTGCCTCTAGGAGCAGAGCCTCAAGCAGGTGTGAATAACCATCATCCCAGTGTCTTGGTGAATGGTGCTCCTTTGCAAGGTGCATTCATTCAGGTAGCAAGTCATCAAGACAGGGTCTGTGCACTACCAAACAAAGCCTGCTAAAAAGTTTGAAATGCTGCAAGGTGACTAAGTAGCCTGTCTTCAGTGTCAGACAACTCATGAGATAAAATTTTTACTGAGTTAGACCATGTTTGAGAATGTTACCCAAGTTGGTTAACATTGTTCAGCAAGGCTGCTTGTGACAAATGTCACTAGAGCACTGGTGGCAAAAGTGTTCAAAGTGAAACACCACCGTATACTCTGTCTTGCCTGCTTTCAATCCTTTAAGTTTAGGAGACTCTACTCTGCCTGTTTTCCAGTCTTCTTTCATTAAAAAATTATAATCTACAGTGATTCTAAGTTGATTCTTCCAGCTTCTTCACTACAAAGAATTGTCCCCTGACACAGTCAACATCTCTTGACAGAGACACTAGTGATTTTATAATCCAAGTTCTTACAACATAATGCTTATGTGGGTTGGTTCTTGTCCTTTCTTCTGAATCTACTGGCTATAACAAGTAATATTTCACTGATTATTTTTCTACGTTAATTTACTGACAACTACTTTATACAAAATGCTCTAATACCCCCTATGTGTCATAAGAAAGAAGAATAAAGCAAGTCTCATTCTAAAGGAGTTTCTAATCAAGTAGTCATCTTATCCCAACCCCCACAGACCCAGTATGGGTCTCTTTCTCTCTTCTCTATCTCCATGACCCTCCACTCCTTAATCATATCCCTTTACCCCCTTGACAGCAGGCAACTTGCCTCCTATGCTCATATTTACCCAATTACTGCTTGTCATGTATACAGGGATTTACTGATATGTCCAGTAGGCATCCCTTTTCCTGGAGACCTTGCCTGAGCCTTGCAGGAAGCTGGGGAATATTGTACAAGCTACTCAACCTCTCTGTGTTCTCAGATTCTTTGTGAAACAGACAGCAATAGCACCTACCTTAAAAACTCATTGTGAAACATACAGTTAGAGGGAATAAGTTCTAATGTTCAATAGCAGAATGGGGTGATTATAGTTAACAATAACATACCATATATTTTAAAATAGTTAGAAGCTTAAAATGTTCCTAACATGTAGAAATGACAAATACTTGAGGTGATAAATACTCCAAATACATGTTCTTGTCACATGCATGTCACAAAATATCACATGTACTCCATAAATATGTACAAATATTATGTGTCAATAATTTTTTAAACTTATTGTGAGAATTACACATTTCCTAGCATTCTGTAAGCACTCAAACATTAGGCACTCCTATGACATCGATGGGATCCATGAGCTACTTTTGAGTATCTAACCATCTAATTAGAGAAGGGTGTCTATAGCGACCATGTGCTATGTTCATCTCTAATATTAAAATATTTACTTTATTGTAATAGCCTATATACTTGTCTACCATATTAAACAAAATAAATTGTTACTATTCACTAAAAGTTTATTACATATGCCAGGTACTTTGCATGTATTAACTCATTTCATCGAGCCCAACCCTATGAGATATTACCACAATCATTTTCATTTCTTCAGCTGAAGAAATTAAGACTTAGGCCCAGGTCACATACTCAAGGACACACACTTGGTAAATAAGAGAAGCAGGACTTGAGCCCAAAGTTCATACTCTTAACCAACCACTCTACTCCACCACCTCCGTGGAGGACTCAGTCTACCATCCCTGTGCCCCTGGAGCTAGTGTAGTGCCTGACTCATAAGCAGTTTCCATTTTCTCTTTGGTTAATTAATATAACACCTTTACAAGGAAAGGGATAAATTTGTTTTTGTTTTAATCAACTATACTAAGACACAAAAAATGATGTGATTGTCACATGGATCTGTGGGTAGCTTTTTGAAGAATCAAGCTGACCTAGCTTTCTCATTTTAGAAATGTTGCCATTTCCTTTTCAGGGAGGAAAAGATATAACTGGAATAAACTGCAGGCAGATGTCTCATTTCTCCAATTTATTATTCTGGAGTGAAAACATTGAGTGACATAATGCCTCACAGGACTGTCACAACTAAGTGTGGGACAATACATCAAACAGGCATGGTTCTTGGAAACACTACCAAACAGGTCTTTGCTAATGATGGATTAAGTTATTGGGGTGTTTTAAAGTTATTAACATTATGGAAGATAGGAGAAATGTGTAAGAGCAGAATATATATTCCTAAGAGGTAATTTGTGTTTCAAATCAAGCTTAATAGAGATCCCCAAATCCCTAAAGAAAATTTAAAAATTATGAAGTCCGGCCAGGAGTGGTGGCTCATACCTGTAATCCCAGCAATTTGGGAGGCTGAGGTGGGTGAATTACTGGAGGTCAGGGGTTCAAAACCAGCCTGGCCCAACATGGTGAAACCCTGTCTCTACTAAATATACAAAATTAGCCAGGCATGCTGGAATGCACCTGTAATCCCAGGTATTCGGGAGGCTGAGGCAGGAGAATCGTTTGAACCCAGGAGGCGGAGGTTGCAGTGAGCCAAGATAGCACCACTGCACATCAGCCTGGGCAAAAAAAGCAAAACTCCGTCTCAAAAAAAAAAAAAGAAAGAAATGAAATCCTTCAATAATGAATACAATTTATTAGGGTTTCCTCCAGAAGTTTCTGAAGTAAGGACTTCAGGGCTTATGGAATAGAGTGACAAAAAAATTGGTCTGTGGTTTAGGCATGGAAAAATGTCTAAGGGGCATTGTACATCAAGGAGTTCAGCCTTCATCAATGGATGGCAGAGCTTCATGTCAGATTTAGGGGGAAAAGAATGCTACCAAGGCGGTACTTAACACTAGGTGAAGTAGGAGGGATTGAAAAAGAGAAACCTAGTAGCATGAGGAATAGATAGAAGGGAAGAGATTTATGGAGATATATACAGGAGGAAGAACCAAAAAGATTCATTGGCCACTTGGATGAGAGAGGAAAGGAAAACAAGGTAGCAGATGGAAGACAGGAAGATAAAAGGTTAGAGAGAGAAGGAAAGATAATGACATATTGGTGTCAAGGAGGGGATGGAGGATGGATGGAGGTTGAGAGTAGGTTACAAGTCCCAGATATGGTACTTTCTACACTCCTTTTAGACTGAGGAAGAGGACTATCCCTTCAGTCTGATGTCATGTCAATAAGGACATGATGACCACTTATTAACTACCTTGATAGCACTTGTATCTTTGTGTTATATGGTTATCTGTTTTGTTTGTCGAGGCCTTGCTCCCACCTATGAAGTAAAATCCTATGGGCATCATTGCCAAGAACTCCGTCCAGTACATTGTATCCTTCAGAGATAAGGCATGGATTCCAGTTCCCTACAGTGCTCTGAAAAATAACTTATTTCATTGCTTACCTGGTGGACTAGGCTTCCCTCTAAGACTCCTTCACCTCCCCCATATCAGTGTTCTATCACATCAGCCTTTGGTCCCTAGATGCTTTTTCTTCAGCCAAGAAGAATTGGTAGATGTATCAAACTAACTTGCCTTTTTCTTTTTCTTCTTTTCAATAGTTACTGTTATTACTACCATTTATAAAATATCATCCTAGCATCATACTTCCTACACAATCGAGGAAAACACTTTTGACATTCCAAATCTACCTACCAATCTCTTCCCCAAACCAAGCTTCAGGCTAGGACTTCCACAAGCTTTGCTCTCTTCAAAGGAAAAATGCACTGTGAAATACAGGGATGAGTATATGGAATAGTAGTCTATCCTGCTCCAAACAAAGGGGTTTGGGGAAGAAAGCTGAGTAAAAACATGGCTGAAGACAGCCCAGGAAGAGAATGTCCTGAATGACCTGAAGGCTAATTCCTCAGGATTTATCAGCCTCAGGACAATGTGATGCCGTATTCAATCCTGAATACTGACATAAAACATAGTTGGTTTGAGATGCCCCCCTAACTTACAGAATCCATGTCCTTCAAGGGCTTAAAGACAAAGAGGCCCCAGCAGCACCTCAAACTTTCCCTTCCCCTCACTGATGGGAGACAGTTTTATACAGTGTGAAGCTTCAAAAAGACTGAGATTGGTATATGAGCTCTGTCATTGAGCTTTGTGTGAACCAGAGTACCATCTTGAACTGTGCTGAACCTCAGTTCCCTCACAAGTAAAATGGAACTGATATTTACCTTCAGAGTTAAGCACCTAATATGTATCAGGTATAAGCACAAGATCTGATATAGAACAGACCATAAGAACTTAAAACTCTTCTTCTAATTATTATCTGGAAGTCTAAGCAATGACCAATCACTATTCTCCTTACACCGTAGGGCTGGGTGGATGGGGGTGGGGGTAGGAAACAGAAACCAAGGCCTGCCTCTCTTTCTCACCCACACCACCCCCCACCCACCCCAGTCCCTCCACCCCAACCAAGTAGAATGTGTGCTGGACAATACCACTAAAGATATAAAGCATGGAACCTGCTTGGCATGAGAGAATGCACTACTTTTTCTCTCCATTCTGGTTTTCTCCTTAGAAACTAAAGTATCACGGTCTAATGGCTCTAACTCTAAGAAACACTATTTCTCACCAGTTATCACCTCTAGTTTTTCTTTTTCTCCCCTCCTTGTTTTTCCGTTAGTTCCAGAGTCAAATGTCCCACTCATATACTGCCAGGTAAAGATGACCACTTTCAAGGGCCTTTTTGTACTTCCAGTTACCTGCTTAGCCCTGACTGGTCAAACTGATGTTGATTCCAGCCTCCACAGTTCTGCCTCTAAGCTGCCTCCAATATGAAAGTCTTTTTTTTTAAATAATAAAATAGATGCTACTATACATATATTAGTAAACATTACAATGCTCTGAGACAAAACTATCATTGTCTACCTCTTGTGTACGAGGCATCTGAGACTTGGAAAGGCAAGTATCCCAGGTTCACAGATTTTTACAGGCAGTAGGGAACTGAGATAAGAAGGCCGTTCAACCTCAGGGCTCACATCCTTTCTCCTTTTAGAAGCTGCACACTGGCAGCCCAAAGTGGTGTTTGGTTTAGCCCCCACAATCTTGGCCCTTACGGTGTTTTTGTTTGTTTTTGGTTTTGTTTTTAAAAAAAACTTAATTTGCTTCTAACATTTAGGGAAAAAGGTAAATTTACTAAAATTTTTTTTTTTTTTTTTACTTTCTCTTTTAAAAAAAAATCAGAAGAGCTGGCAACGTAAGGGTTGTTTAACTCTGGGCCAACTGTTTCCCGGAGCTGAGAAAAAGTGGTTCCCTTTAGACGGACAGAATGTGGCTTCCAGCTGGCCCTGGTCCCTGCTGTGAACTGATTTTTAAAAAATATTATTCCTCACTTTCCTCACTCTTTAATTACCCACCCAGCCCTGTAGTCATTAACTTTGCCCCTGTGTTGAGTCCTATTCCTCAAGAAGAACACATCTTCCTCTCTGTGGTGGGTTTCAAAAGGCAACTGAGGCCAGGCGCAGTGGCTCATGCCTGTAATCCCAGCACTTTGGGAGGCCAAGGAGGGTGGATCACCTAAGGTCAGGAGTTCCAGACCAGCCTGGCCAACATGGTGAAACCCCATCTCTACTAAAAATACACAATTAGCTGGGCATGTTGCCGCATGCCTCTAATCCCAGCTACTGGGGAGGCTGAGGCAGGAGAATCCCTTGAACACAGGAGGTGGAGGTTGCAGTGAGCCAAGATTGCACCATCACACTCCAGCCTAGGCAACAGAGCGAGACTCTGTCTCAAAAAGAAAAAAAAAAAAAAACCACTAGTATCAGTCTCTGCACCTGAACGTAGCGCCTTTTCTATCACTATTCCTTCTGCTGTGGTGTCTTCCTGGTTTTGTCTGTGGCTCTGCTTTCTGACACCTGCCTGTCTATAACTCACCATCACCGCAATGAGCAAAGACTCTTTGCCTGCAGCCAGACTCTCATTCTCCAACTTGCTCTGATCATCCATGTTAGTGGGAGGTCCAATCCAAGTTACTCACTAGATCTCATCCACCTTTGACTACTTCCATTCTACCAATCCAGCCTGAGATTCCTCTGTATTCCCAGCCTGCTCCCTCCTTCCTGCCTCACACTGCAAGTGTGAGAGAGCGAGTGAGTTGCTGGCTGGTGCAGAAGTACTTTCCTTCCATTTGTCACCCTCTTGCTCCTCTCCTCTATCACTATGGCCCTTCCAGCACTGACCTCCCAGCAGAGCAGAGAGGGGCCCTTAACAAGAAGAAAGGATTTATCAGGGTTCCCTGAACGGTACAAGATGAGAAAATTTTTAAAAGCCCTCTGGACTTTGTGCATCAAGGATAGTTTGTAGAGAACTTGACAGAGGCTTGTAAAATACATTTCATATAAGAAAGAAGTTGAAAAGGGCAAAGAATGCTGCAAGTCGGACAAGTAAAAGAAAAAAGGTGTACACCAAAATATTGGGACTGAAAAATAAACTGCAAGCAGACTGCCTACGACCTTTGTGCCTAAGTGAAAAGCAAACTTCTCCTCCTCCCTCATCGCTGAGTTTTGTCTGGCATGATGGATGATGCGGTTTTTGCTGGCACACTGCTGAAATGTTCCCGCATATAACACAAGAGCTCACATAGCACTTCTCTGAAGAAGAAAAGGCAAACTATTGTAAAAGACAGAAGACTGGTAATTAAAGAGAAAAGAGTGCAAGGCAAACAGTTACTGGTAGGACCACATGCCACCTAACTGATGTTCCCCATCACACTTCACAGTGACGGTCGCTGTCTTTAAACCTTGCAGAGCAAGACTCAAACCCATAAGGACACATTCTCTACCACTCTCCAGATAAACTCTCCAGTGTTAGAAAAGCCCGTTGTCTCCTTTCCTTACCAATCCTATCATGTATTCCAGATACTAAGCCTGTATTTCCCCTCCTCTAGATTACAGCTGATCTCTATCTTCACCCGTTTAAATCCTACCCATCTCTTAAGATCCAATTCAAACTCTACGTCTTTCCTCAACTATGCCAATCTACCATGACCCCTCCCTTCTATAAATTCTATAGTAAAACCTGTGCCCACATCATTCACCACCCAGATTATAAGCACCTCAGAATCAAAGCAAAGACCACCATTTTATGCTTAATTCGATGGCTAACATTTAGTGCTCAATAAATATTGAAAATGGTACTATGTTGTATTCTTCATTCCTTATTTCACTTCACGTTTCATTAAACTCCAAAAAGATTATTATAAGCTCCTTAAGACCAAGGATCCTGACAGTATTTATTTGGCGGTCTACATGATGCCAAGCCCATAGTAGGAAATAAATATTTACTTGGCCAAGTTGGTTGACTGAAAGGAGTCTAAAGCTTTCACACAAGTTACCAATTACAGTGGTAAACGTTCATTCACTCATATAGAAAATATCACTGTATGACTGGAACAAAATTGTCCAGGCTGTGGAGAGCCCCACGGCTGTTCAACGCCGTGATCTCACCAAGCTCCAGGGGAAAGCTCCGAGTTTGCCTCTGGGATTTTTTAAATGTCCCCTCAGAATGAGTGACTGCCATCTGAGCAACCATCCTACGAGTGGGATAGTTCTTCAGAGTTCCCTGAGCTTACCCTTGCAGGGAAGGGCATATCACACTTAATCAGTTCACACGTCTAAAGACAGTTTTGTTTTTTAAATGCCTTCGCCATGAGTTCCACCTGGGACTTGCAAATCCTTAAGAGATCTTCATTTGCACATCATCACTGGTTGCAAGACTCTGATGAGAGCTCAGCTGTCAATAGGAAATGAAGCAGGATGTCAGCCTGCTCCTCCTTCCTCCCCCTCTCCCTTGAATCTCCTAGGCAGATTCAGGGGAGAGCAGTGAAGATAAGCAGATAGGATGTGCAGACTCCGAATAAGGGATAAGAATGCACGTGGAGGAAGAAAGGCTGTCATTAGGTTGTTTTCCTGTCTGTAATAACTGCTCTAAGACCATCAACTTTAAGTAGTAAGTTTTTGAAAACCAAAAATTTTAGATACAATTTTGTATAAGCAAATCATTTGTGTGCACAAAACTCAATATTTTTGTGCAAACAGCATTTTTACATGCAAATCAAGCCATTAGTGTTTTTGCTAATTGAGTAGTGTGTGGAATTCAATGCTTTTTCGCAAGTGCAAGTGGGAAGTGATACTGGTATAGCTACAGAGAATGTTGAAGAGAGTGGCTGGCAGTCAACTGCACCATTTTCCTATAACTGGATGGTGGGTCAGTTGCTTTGGGATGCTCAAACTCTTGAGAAGTAGCGTGGACAAACTGTCTGAAGTGAATATAATTTCAAGCAAGTTACTGGTTGATTGACCACTGCCAACTGTCCTCTGCATCAGTTAGTTTTACTCCAGGCTTAAACTCACATAGGCTAACCCAAGTTAGCCACTTCAACATGGCTGGGAAGAAATGGTCCAAAGGGCCACTCTGAGTGCATGGGACTACTCCCAGCTCCTCTGCCATCCTTGAATCTGCATAAGACAAGAAATCAATCAGCAGCACACTGAAGCTTGGTAGAGGAGAGTGCAATAAAGGCAATATTTACCCAAAAAATGGGCAGAGATTAGGAAAAGCAACAAGGGTTGGAGCAGTGCCACAGGACTAGTAATAGTGGTTGCAATTCCAAGAACTGAAGGAGCAAGAAAATAGGTCAGGTAATAGAACCTGGAGAGACAGCTATAAAAAAGAGGACCACCTAACAGGCATTGTGACCTTTCAATCAACTGAGGCAGCCAACTCATCATAACCCCCAAGGAGTAAGCCAGAGGGATCGATACTCCAACTTCATTCTTCTCCCTCCCTCTGGTATCTTGCCAGAGTCTGCCACCGACCCAATCCAACTGGAAGACGGAAGCAAAGCATCTCTTCATTATATCTATACTGGTCGACCTCCCAAGCACAGCACAGGGCTTAGAATAGATCTGGAAGGACAAACCAAAGACAGTCTGCACAGATGCCCTGAAGTCAATGATTCTGCAGCTATTATACATTTTACTTTATTTCACATTTCAGTATTTCTGGGACTTGGGCTTCAGACTTCTCTGAGAGCTACATCGCAATGATACCTGTCCAGCACTAATTTCCCAGTCTCAGTGGGAACTCATGATTAACAAGAGTTGTCTTATCCCATGAGACATAGGGGTTATAGAAAAAAATAGTTCTCTTAAACCTATAAGAATCATTCTTAATTATTTTAGATTATAATACTTATATAGAGGCCAGGCATGGTGGCTCACGTCTGCAATCCCAACACTTTGGGAGGGTGAGGCAGGCAAATCACTTGAGCCCAAGAGTTAGAGAACATCCTAGGCAACACAGTGAAACCCCACCTCTACAAAAAATTCCAAAAATTAGCCAGGTGTCATGGCATATGCCTGTGGTCCCAGCTACTTGGGAGGCCGAGGTGGGAGGATCATCTGAGCCCAGAAGGTCAAGGCTGCAGTAAGCCATGATTGTGCCACTGCACTCCAGCCTGGGTGACAGATTGAGATCCTGTCTCAAAACAAACCATAATAAGACTCACACAGAAATGGCTATGGAATTCATCAAATAAGAACCAAATGGTTTGGTTTATTACTGAAATGTAGTCCGAAGCCTTGCCTGTATAACGAAAGCTAAAAGGAGTAGAAATTTTTTCAACTAATTCCTTATCTCTACTTCTACCAGTATGTTTTTCAACTCCTCCTTGTCTCATTAGTTTCTCACTTTTTAAATACCTATTTGTATTCAAAATATCACCATCACACAGTTCAGATTTAATTGTTGAGTAATAATTTAATGTCCACTATTGTTTTTTCCTTTCCTGAACTATAAGCTCTCTGAGGGTGGAAGGTGTGTATGATGCTTATTCAGACATCTATTAAGGTCTCAAATACTTTCCATGGATTAATTCACAGTAATATGGAAGTTTTGGTAACCAGTATCTATAGAACCATTTTGAGGCACCTATAACTCTGATACATTAGATTACCTAAGGGCAAAAATCAAACTATGCTTTATCTAAGGACCCTTGACAGTGGCCTTTGACAAAAATGCACAGAGTACTTCTACATAGTAGTACTTCGTCTTGAAAAACACAGGAAGGAAGGAAATGGAAAGGAGAGAGAGAAGAGGGATAGCTAAACATGTCTCTTGATTGCAAAGATGCTACATTAGGCACGTGGACAGTTGTTAAGTACAGAGTAAGCAGCGTTGCTGGGAAATAACTTGATCCATAACCCATATAATGCTGCCTGCATGCTATGAAGATAATTGGCCTCTGGGTATTTAGAACATGGTCTTTGCCCTTCCTTTTACCCACGATTCTGTACATCTTTACATATAATAAGCCAACTTGATTTTGGTGAAGCCATGATTCAGATATGTTTGTCCTAGGAGTTGTAAAGGGATATTAAATACATCCATAAACACCCGACAGAAATTGTGCAATAAAGATAGCTTCCTAAACAATTAATCACAACCTCAAAATACAAAGCTAATAATAGGTCAATTCTTTTCTCCAGAAAACACAGGGGGAGAACAATAGTATTAGATTGAAATTAATCAATCTAACCAATCTAACATCAACAATCCAGAAATTTTAGAAAAAAAAAGTATTTTTCTTAAAGAACACATTTTTAAATATATTTCTTAAGAAATAGCCTTTTCTATCTATCACACTTTGGTCATACTGACAGTCTCCAAATTAAAAGCAATATCTTTCTTTAGGCACAAGATTTGTGAACACTGCCAATATGCTTTCAATCAAACTACATTTGAAGAAAAGAGTTTTTGAGGAGGGTGGAAAATAGCTTAAAGTAACTATGATGATCACTCAGCAGGTATTCTATAAGACAACCAGAGTTTCATGCAATTGTATTCATTTCAGTATATGCAATAAATGAAACACACAGCCAATGTGCTTCTATTTATACATCTTGGCAACACTTTACAGAAATAAACTATAAATCAGAAGACAAAATTTTTCATTAGACTCAATCATCAGAAGTAGTCATTACTATAATATAAAGTTCACCCAACTCAAATGAGACATATACACCACAAGCACTCACTCCCCCACCCCCACCCCACCCCCACCATTTAAAATACGTATTTGGATACCTACCTTTTTACGAGGCAGGTTCCAAATTTTTTTTTAACTCTCACATTCCCAACACGAAACATTTCTTCTTCTGAGGTAGATATCCAATTCAATCCAGGTTCAAATGGCCAAAGAAGAGACCCAGATAAGCAAACAAGTTATGGGTTTTATCAAGGGCTTACATACAGGAGACAGAGCCTGCTAGCAGTGGGTTGGATAGGAGAAGCACACAGCCAAGTGGCAGTGGGCTGGGCGGAGAAACACAACCACTTGCGAAAGGCATGCAGTTTATACAGCATCTTCACCTGACACTTTCCCCCTAACAATCTCCACCTGACAAACTTCATTTACTCCAAAACAAAGCGCCTCAATGCCCTGTAAGGTCTCCGTCTCACAGAAGGGCCGGGGGCTCAGATGTTCCTCACAGTTAAGGAATGGATCTCCATGTTGGCCAATCTTGGATTCCCTAACTCATTCTGACCACACATTCATCTTTACGGCAGGTGTGTCTGCTGTAAAGGTCATCTCAGGGCATGCTTGGGTCCAGTCATCACTGGCAGGAGTGTCTGCTATACAGGACAACGCTGCACTATAGTACGTGACCTACCTTGCTGGCAATATATCCTCTTGGCTCAGATTTCCTTACCATTTACATCGATAACAGTTTATATTCTGCCTGGCATCATTTTCCTTCATTGTGTCTCAAAAGACTATCATGTTTACGAGCAGCTAATGCTTTCACTTGTTCCTCTGTAAGAAATTTGTTCTTAAATATTACCTGGGATACTAATTAAGTGGGATTTGAAAATGAGAACACATTGGCATTGTTAAGGTTAATGGCTTAACCCTTCCACACAGTAGACAACTTCTCGAGCTTGCTGGAAAGATTGTTATTGAAGTGCAGGGACAGCCCTGTCCCATTATCCATGAGTCTTGCTTATTCTGTTCTCCTTAGGATTGTACCATCTATATGTCCTTTGAGTAACTGATATTTAGAAAATGTTTCCAGGTGTTAGCATTTATTAAGAAGCTAACTGCTAGTGAGGGACAGATGGTTATTTTCCCAGATAATTCTAGGCTCGCCAATATCCACACTTGATTTTTAACCTATTTCTTAGAAATTAACTTGAAGTAAATAGCTAATTTTTTTATTTAGGAAAAAATAGGTAAGAGAAAAATGAAAAATTGATAGAACATCAAAAAATAACTTCACAACGGATTGTTATAGCAATTTTGATTGAGGCCACGTGATTGAAACATTTCCAAACACCTGATTATGAAGGGCAATGATTTAATGGGGGGGGGTGTAATCAATAGTTTGAAATAAAAAGAACTGACTGGAGTTGTTTTTACAATGCCTTCTCTCATTTTTCTTTTCTTTTCAAAACTATGCCTGCACACAGAATGCATGCGATTTGTTAATCATGATGGAGATCTCAGATGCTTTTGAAGGTAAGCCTCCTGGTATAGATGAGTAAAATTTTCCAGGTATCAGCTCCATGAGGACTGTCGGGAATCAGGAGGTCCATGTCCCCACCAAACAAACACACACACATACAACACACATTTAGTGTACTGGCTGCCAATGTGTGAGCTCCACAGCATCCACTTATTGTTCTGTATGTGTTCATCTTTGCTCTGCAACTAATTGGTGTCTATGTTAAAGAAGAACAGGCATCTTGCCTTATTCATCTCTTACATCTTTCAGAGTGTCCAGCACAGACATAGTAACATACCAAAGGCTCACCAAAGATCACTAATTGTTGGTTAAAGTAAGAGGCAGAATAATGACCCACCCCAACCACAAAGACGTGCCCATCGTAAATTCCAGAGCCTGTGAATATGTTATATTACATAGAAAAGAGGAATGAAGGTTGCAGATGGAATTAAGGTGCTAGTAAGCCACCGTAAGATAGGAAGATTATTCTGGTTTATTCCATTGTGCCCACTGTAATTACTGAGGTGTTTTATTGTTTTTGTTTTTGTTTGAGACGGAGTCTCACTCTGTCGTCCAGGCTGGAGTGCAATGGCGCGATCTCCGCTCACTGCAAGCTCCACCTCCCGGGTTCACGTCATTCTCCTGCCTCAGCCTCTTAGTAGCTGGGACTGCAGGCACCCGCCACCACGCCCAGCTAATTTTTTGTATTTTTAGTAGAGATGGGGTTTCACCCTGTTAGCCAGGATGATCTCGATCTCCTGACCTCGTGATCCGCTCGCCTCGGCCTCCCAAAGTGCTGGGATTATAGGCGTGAGCCACCGCGCTAGGCCAATTCCTGAGGTTTTTAAAAGAAAAAGAAGGAGGCAGAAAAGGAGTCACAGCCAGAGAAGGAAAACTGAAGATAGAAGGGTCAAGACGACATGATATGAGAAAGGCTTTTTTTTTTTTTAGATTCAGAGGGTACATGTGCAAATTTGTTACATGGTATATCGCATGATGCTAAGGTTTGGGCTTCAATTGAACCTGACACCCAAATAGTTACATAACACCCAATAGATAGTTTTCAACCCAAGTTCCCTACCTCCCTCCCTGCTCTAGTACTCTCCAGTGTCTATTGTTTCCATCTTTATGACCATGTGCCCCCAAAGTTTAGCTCCCACTGATAAGTAAGAACATGGGGTATTTGGTTTTCTACTTCCGTGTTAATTAGCTTAATATAATAGCCTGCAGCTGCATCCATGTTGCTGCAAAATACGTGATTTTATTCTTTTTTATGGCCACATCGTATCCCATGGTGTATATGTACCACATTTTCTTTAACCTATCCATCATGGACGGGCACCTAGATTGATTCTATGTCTTTGCTATTGTAAATAGTGCTGCAGTAAACATGTGCAGGTGTCTTTTTGGTAGAACAATTTATTTTCCTTTGGGTATATACCTAGTAATGGGATTGCTGGGTCGAATGCTAATTCTATTTTCAGCTCGTTGTAAAATCTCCAAACTACTTTCTACAGAGGCTGAACTGATATGAGAAAGTCTTAACCAGTTGTTGCTTCTTTGAAGAAGAAGGAAGGGGCCACAAGCCAAGGAATGTGGTGGCATCTAGACACTGGAAAAAGCAAGAAAATGAATTCTCCACTAAAGCATCCAGAAACACAGCTCTAAAGATCCCCAGTTTTAGTCCAGTATGACCCATGTTGGACTTCTAAACCATAGAATTGTAAGATACTAAATTTATGCTGTTTTAAACCATTATGTTCATGATAATTTGTTACAGTAGCCATAGAAATCTAATAAAATTGAGATACTTCTTTCCATTTGATTTATTTTCTTTGATTTTTTATTTTTTTATTTTTATTTATTTATTTATTTTTTGAGATGGAGTCTTGCTCTGTCCCCCAGGTTGGAGTGCAGTGACGCAATCTTGGCTCACTGCAAGCTCTGCCTCCCGGATTCATGCCATTCTCCTGCCTCAGCCTCCCAAGTAGCTGGGACTACAGGCGCCCCCCCAACCACACCCAGCTAATTTTTTTGTATTTTTAGTAGAGACGGGGTTTCACCGTGTTAGCCAGGATGGTCTTCATCTCCTGACCTTGTGATCCGCCTGCCTCAGCCTCCCAAAGTGCTGGGATTACAGGCGTGAGCCACCGCGCCCGGCCTTCTTTGATTTTTTAAAAGAAGTGACTATCAAGTTTTTATATTTATTGCCCCTAACCATCACCAAACAGTCAGTCATCAGCAGAGAGGACAACAGTGACTGAGGCATATGCGAAAGGGAAATTTGGCACATTATCCAAAGAAAGCTGCTTCACCATTTAAAATAGTTTCGTGTCTCACCTCCAGTGACTTTCTTATTTAAGAAAATCAATGGTCCACTTAAAATTCCCTTGTGCATGGGAATGTGGTGCCATGTAAATATTTGTTTGCTGCTGTCTCTCTCAGAGCCAAGCACCAGCTTTGCAGGTGGGATTACTTAATTGGCAATTATTAAATAAATTTAAAAGAGCCATGATTAGCAGACTAATTGCTGACCAGCAGTTCTATTGAATCTGTTTCCAATGCAAATGTCTCCTCTTCTCTTGGCTCAAGGTAATCAAGCTTTTCTTTGCAATTTTTCAGAAATCTTTGAAGTGTTTCTGCACACTCCAAATAGTCACTCACTAGTATGAAAGTTTTCCCTTGAAAGCTGGAATCAGGCACTTTTGCCTCTGGAAAGGGAAGGAAAAGTGGCAGACCTAGTTGTATTGTATTGTTTTCTTAGTTTCTCCAGGGAGAAAAGGGAACTGATCAACTTAAAAAGAACTAGTTACCCAGGATAGCTATTTAACGGAGAAAGACAAACCTGGTAATCAAAATAGACTGGTTATATTCAATACTGAAGGATAAATTTCTTTATAAGGTGCTGTGTTGTACTGATACTGTCTAAGATCTCTTTAGTGGAAAATTTATTTGAGGACTACCTCTAATCACCAGAAAATCAAGCATTTCATGACATCATCTGAGCATCCTTACCTGGACTCTGCCTCTCTCCTACCTAGCACTCCCTTTGCCCACAGCTCCGCTCCAACCCTGTCCCTTTTTAGTGCCAAGACTGCTTCAAGTTGCTGCTCATCCAGCGGTACATCCCCCATTCTTCCTTAGTTATTTTTATCTTTTCTCACATTTCTAAATAACACCACTTCTTTAGGTAGAAACTTCCCACCACCTGGCTTATCTGAACCTCTAGCCTATATCCATAGAATTATGTTGAGTAAACAGCCTGTCCCTATTACTCCTATTCTGCCGACACCATAGATCTGCTGTGGATGTCATCCATTGACCTACCCCAATCGGAAGCCAGAAGGCAAGGGAGCTAGGTGATTGTAGAAGTCAGCCTCCTGTAGCAAAGAGCAGGGCAGAAAAGTAATGAATGAATTCAGAATGGTGGGGATGAAACAGAGAATAGCCAACACAGGGTCTCTTTTTATAGGACAACCAAAAGTTGTATACATCGTTCTACTTTTGGTCTTTATTGAGACTCTTAGTAATGTTTGTTAAATTCCCACTATGTGTGGTATGCATCTTTCTTTGAAATAACAAGAATATAAACATTCTTCAGTTGCCCCCTCCTTCTTTCCTTTTTGTTTTTTCTTCAAGGTTTTGCTGAACGGCTACCTTCCCCTGGATTTCTTAATTCGTTTATTTCTACTAAATAAATAAGCCTGGTGCCTCCCTTCACCTATATAATAGATTTCCCTTTGCATCTTTATTGTCTATTCAACATTGACAAGTACATTTGGCAAATGGTAAGCATGCAATAAACATTAACTATTTTTATTTTTATTCCTCTCCTAAGAAATTCTTGCCTAATTAAATAAGGGCAAAAGGAGGCTATTGAGATAATGAGAAAATTTATAGATTTTTAAAAATTTTCATTAATCTAATAAAGATTTTAAACCTAACTTCCAGTTTTAGAAACAAGGAGGTGAAGAAACAAGTTGAACAACACCCCTCCACCAAAAAATAAAAAATCCAGAACAAATTAAAAATATGAGTCACTCTACAAGAAAACTGCCTACTTTCTTCAATAAGTCAACGTGCAGTAAAAAGGGAATAGGGGACTTTGTATATCAGAGTTTATCTAACTTTTCTGTAAAAGACCAAATAGCAAATATTTCAGGCTTTGCAGGCCATGTCATCTTGGTTACAACTACTCAACTCTTAAAGTCATAGGTAATACTTAAACAAATGGAATGGCTGTGTTCCAATAAAAATGTATTTACCATAAAATAGGCTGCAGGCCAGATTTGGCCAGCTCCTAATTCCTCTTCTATATTTAAGGAGGTTAAGAAATATAACAACCTAACAAATAAGTACACAATGGGCATTTTTAACTCAAAAGTTTTTATCAAGGTGTGGGAATAGGGGAAGGGGAGTTGAAAGAAGTCACAGGTTTCGGGGGCATGCAAAGGTCAGTAGAGAAATGAGGCCTGGGCAGTGTGTTGTTGGAAAAAGTACACACACAAAATGGCACCACCTGTAGGCTATTTATATATATTTATTTTATGTCCAGCAGTCGTCTATTTGATATGGACAGGAGGCATGAGGGTGGGGTCCCTGGAGAGAGGGCTTTACCCTCAAGCCTGGACCATGGCCCTAAGTGAGAACAAGAATTTCAGTTTTTGTGCCCAAATGTTGCCTTTTGGCCCAAAATACCTGCCTATTCTGTACCCATATAAACCTCAGACCCCAGGCTCCACAAGCAGCAGAGCAGCAGACAAGGAGAGAAAAGAGGAAGCATCTGAACACTGAGAGTTCACCTGAGCATGGTCGGAAAGGAGATCGACCAAACAGAACAGCCGAGCTCCAGGGGAAGATAATCTTCCCACCCCACCCCATCCCCTCTCCAGCTCCCCATCCCACTGACAGCCACCTCCATCACTCAATAAAATCCCCACATTCACTATCCTTAAGTCCATGTGACCTGATTCTTACTGGATGCGGGACAAGAATCCAGGATTCACTGAGTGTGGGAACCCAAAAAGGCTGTCACATTGACTCTTCACTGAGCGGTTTAACACCTAAGCCATCCCCAGACAGCAGGACTAAGAGAGCACTGTAATACTCCTAGACACTGCCATGGGGCAAGGGCCCAAAAGCACTCACCCTGGCTCCTGCACCTGCTCACCTATGTGCTCCCCATCCTGTAAGGGGTTTGAGCATGTGGCAGCCAAACAAATGAGCCACACTCCTGTTGCAAGTCCCATGAAAGGGTACAGGGAACTCTCCCATTTCATCTTCACACTACTTCCTCTGACATCCCATCACCATGGCACTCAAAATGTAATGACAGCACATATCTTTTACATATTTGTTGCAAATGCAGCAATTTGGACAATATATTCAAGAGAGCCATCATTATCCCAAGTCTGCATCTCCCATCCACCCTCTCCTCAGGCAATTGTGCTTTGGGTGGTGAGGTGTCATCTGCTATTTATTCCCTTAAGTAGTCCTCAATATTATCCTGAATAATTCTTTTTTACATTACCAAAAAAAGTCAGTTAAAAGTTACAGAATTCAGAGAGTGCGGACGTCCAGTTTCGCAGTGGGAGTCTTCATTGCGCCAGTGACTAAAAAGAGAATTAAATATGGGTGATGTTGAGAAAGGCAAGAAGATTTTTATTATGAAGTGTTCCCAGTGCCACACTGTTGAAAAGGGAGGAAAGCACAAGATTGGGCCAAATCTCCATGGTCTTTTCAGGTGGAAGACAGGTCAGGCCCCTGGATACTCTTACACAGCCGCCAATAAGAACAAATGCATCATCTGGGGAGAGGATACACTGATGGAGTATTTGGAGAATCCCAAGAAGTACATCCCTGGAACAAAAATGATCTTTGTCAGCATTAAGAAGAAGGAAGAAAGGGCAGACTTGATAGCTTATCTCAAAAAAGCTACTAATGAGTAATAATTGGCCACTGCCTTATTTATTACAAGACAGAAATGTCTCATGACTTTTTTATGTGTACCATCCTTTAATGGATCTCATACACCAGAATTCAGATCATGAATGACTGACAGAATATTTTATTGGGCAGTCCTGATTTAAAACTAAGCCTGGCTTGTGGTTAAATGAATATGTTCAGTTTTTGAATTTTAATAGTAACTCCAATTCAGTAAATGCTATCACTGTTTACCCCTTTTAAAGATATGATTAGACTTCATTAGTAATGTTCAACTTTTCACAAAGATGATGAGTGCCATCTTAAAACTTATACTGGAGATTGGTTTTATATTTAGATTTATATAACTGGTTATGTGAATATATTTAAATACTGGGGAAATTCCTTCACTGTCTTAGAACCAAGCAAGATTCACATGTGTTTTGTGTTCATTTGCCTCTTAAAGGCAAGGGTTGAAGATAAATATGGTAGCAATGTCTATAGTTTTGGTCTTAACTACGCCAATCTAATTATAATTCCCTGTATTTAAAATGGTTCCCTTTACTTATTGAAAGGCATTTTAGTGTGGTTTATGTGTAATATTAAAGATTATTCAACACCTCTCACATCTTAAAGATCTCTAAGGTCACATGCTTTTAAAATAGTAGCAAGTTAAACTTCACTCTTGAATTCTTTACAATCTAAGTCAAACTAAGTTATACTTTAGGATTGTCTTTAAACAGCCATTCAGAAATATAAAACTGTAGAACTGGGTATATGTGATTGGGAATGGTGCTTTTGCCAACTTAAAAGGATTAAGGTAACGGAGATATGCACAAATTTTAAAATTATGTGTGATCACAAGACTAAAGATAATTAAAAAGAAAACCACAAAAAAAAAGGTTACAAAATTCTAAACTGATTCTTTTCAAAAGAGAGGTACATTATGGAATGTGTTAAACTCATAGTTCCATTTTTAAAAAATGTTAACCATAATATTTTTATTTTTAATTCAATTTCATTTTATAATTGACATAATAATTGTGCATATTCATCAGGTACATAGTGAAGTTTCAATACATATAATGTATATTGATCAGAACAAGATAATCAGTAAATCCATCATCATAAACATTTATCATTTCTTTGTGTTAGGAATGTTCAATATCCTCCTTCTAGCTGTCTGAGACTATAAAATATATTATTGTTAACTATAGTCATCCTACAATGATATAGACCACTATAACTTATTCCTCCTATCTAGCTGTAATTTTATATTATAATTCTATTAAAAAGAGTAAGGTAAGAGCCCCAAATGGTGAAATTTTCTCTTTTCGTTCCTGGATAAAGCTGACCACCAGTTTTAACATATCTAGACTTCAATTTTTTTATTAACAAAAGGACAAGTGTGAACTAGAATATACATCCAACATTGTGACATTGACCAGAAGTCTTTTGCTTCCTATACTTATCACTAAGAACCACTCTTGTGGCAATAACTTAAGACTGCACTATTTATACTTAGATTTTTGTGGAACATTTCTGATAAAGTTTTTTTATTATTTAGACAAAAATTTAAAAGGTCAAATGGTAATAAATAAAAACCAAGATATATAAGTCACCACTTAAAAAATTATATCAGTGGGGATGGAGCCAAGATGGCCAAATAGGAACAGCTCCAGTCTACGGCTCCCAGCGTGAGCAATGCAGAAGATGGGTGATTTCTGCATTTCCAAATGAGGTACCGGGTTCATCTCACTGGGGAGTGCCAGACAGTGGGTGCAGGACAGTGGGTGCAGCGCACCATGCATGAGCCGAAGCAGGGCAAGGCATCGCCTCACCTGGGAAGCACAAGGGATCAGGGAATTCCCTTCCCTAGTCAAAGAAAGAGGCGACAGACGGCACCTGGAAAATTGGGTCACTCCCACCCTAATACTGCGCTTTTCAAATGGCACACAGGCTTAACAAACGGCACAACAGGAGATTATATCCCGGCACATCAGGAGATTATATCCCGGCACACCAGGAGATTATAACAAACGGCACATCAGGAGATTATATCCCGCACCTGGCTCGGAGGGTCCTATGCCCACGGAGCCTCACTCATTGCTAGCACAGCAGTCTGAGATCAAGCTGCAAGGTGGCAGCGAGGCTGGGGGAGGGGCGCCCGCCATTGCTCAGGCTTGAGTAGGTAAACAAAGCGGCCAGGAAGCTCGAACTCGGTGGAGCCCACCACAGATCAAGGAGGCCTGCCGGCCTCTGTAGACTCCACCTCTGGGGGCAGGGCACAGACAAAAAAAGACAGCAATAACCTCTGCAGACTTAAATGTCCCTGTCTGACAGCTTTGAAGAGAGTAGTGGTTCTCCCCGCACGCAGTTTGAGATCTGAGAATGGGCAGACTGCCTCCTCAAGTGGGTCCCTGACCCCAGAGTAGCCTAACTGGGAGACACCACCCATTAGGGGTGGACTGACACCTCACACGGCTGGGTACTCCTCTGAGACAAAACTTCCAGAGGAACAATCAGGCAGCAGCATTTGTGGTTCACCAATATCTGCTGTTCTGCAGCCACCACTGCTGATACCCAGGCAAACAGGGTCTGGAATGGACCTCCAGCAAACTCCAACAGACCTGCAGCTGAGGGTCCTGACTGTTAGAAGGAAAACTAACAAACAGAAAGGACATCCACACCAAAAACCCATCTGTACATCACAATCATCAAAGACCAAAGGTAGATAAAACCAAAAAGATGGGGAAAAAACAGAGCAGAAAAACTGCAAACTCTAAAAATCAGAGCTCCTCTCCTCCTCCAAAGGAACGCAGCTCCTCTCCAGCAATGAAACAAAGCTGGAAGGAGAATGACTTTGACGAGTTGAGAGAAGAAGGCTTCAGATGATCAAACTACTCCGAGCTAAAGGAGGAAGTTCAAACCCATGGTAAACGAGTTAAAAACTTTGAAAAAAAATTGGACGAATGGATAACTAGAATAACCAAAGCAGAGCAATCCTTAAAGGACCTGATGGAGCTGAAAATCAAGGCACAAGAACTAAGTGATGAATGCACAAGCCTCAGTAACCAATGCGATGAACTGGAGGAATGGGTATCACAGATGGAAGATGAAATGAATGAAATGAAGCATGAAGAGAACTTTAGAGAAAAAAGAATAAAAAGAAATGAACAAAGCCTCCAAGAAATATGGGACTATGTGAAAAGACCAAATCTACATCTAATTGGTGTACCTGAAAGTGATGGGGAGAATGGAATCAACTTGGAAAACATTCTGCAGGATATTATCCAGGAGAACTTCCACAATCTAGCAAGGCAGGCCAACATTCAGATTAAGCAAATACAGAGAACACCACAAAGATAATCCTCGAGAAGAGCAACTCCAAGACACATAATTCTCGTATTCACCAAAGTTGAAATGAAGGACAAAATGCTAAGGGCAGCCAGAGAGAAAGGTCGGGTTACCCACAAAGGGAAGCCCATCAGACTAACAGCTGATCTCTCAGCAGAAACTCTGCAAGCCAGAAGAGAGTGGGGGCCAATAGTCAACTTCTTAAAGACAAGAATTTTCAACCCAGAATTTCATATCCAGCCAAACTAAGCTTCATAAGTGAAGGAGAAATAAAATACTTTACAGACAAGCAAATGCTGAGAGATTTTGTCACCACCAGGCCTGCCCTAAAAGAGCTCCTGAAGGAAGCACTAAACATGGAAAGGAAAAACCGGTACCAGCCACTGCAAAAACGTGCCAAATTGTAAAGACCATCCAGGCTAGGAAGAAACTGCATCAACTAACGAGCAAAATAACCAGCTAACATCATAATGACAGGATCAAATTCACACATAACAATACTAACCTTAAACATAAATGGGCTAAATGCTCCAATTAAAAGGCACAGACTGGCAAATTGGATAAAGAGTCAAGACCCATCTCTGTGCTGTATTCAGGAAACCCATCTCACATGCAGAGACACACATAGGTTCAAAATAAAGGGATGGAGGAAGATCTACCAAGCAAATGGAAAACAAAAAAAGGCAGGGGTTGCAATCCTAGTCTCTGATAAAACAGACTTTGAACCAACAATGATCAAAAGAGACAAAGAAGGCCATTACATAATGGTAGAGGGATTGATTTAACAAGAAGAGCTAACTATCCTAAATATATATGCACCTCAAACAGGAGCACCCAGATTCATAAAGCAAGTCCTGAGTGACCTACAAAGAGATTTAGACTCCCACACAATAATAATGGGAGACTTTAACACCCCACTGTCAACATTAGACAGATCAACGAGACAGAAAGTTAACAAGGATGTCCAGGAATTGAACTCAGCTCAGCACCAAGCAGACCGAATAGACATCTACAGAACTCTCCACCCCAAATCAACAGAATATACATTCTTTTCAGCACCACACCACACCTATTCCAAAATTGACCACATAGTTGGAAGTAAAGCACTCCTCTGCAAATGTAAAAGAACAGAAATTATAAAAATGGTCTCTCAGACCACAGTGCAATCAAACTAGAACTCAGGAGTAAGAAACTCACTCAAAACGGCTCTACTACATGGAAACTGAAAAACCTGCTCCTGAATGACTACTGGGTACATAACGAAATGAAGGCAGAAATAAAGGTGTTCTTTGAAACCAACAAGAACAAAGACACAACATACCAGACTCTCTGGGACACACTCAAAGCAGTGTGTAGAGGGAAATTTATAGCAGTAAATGCCCACAAGAGAAAGCAGGAAAGATCTAAAATTGACACCCTAACATCACCATTAAAAGAACTAGAAAAGCAAGAGCAAACACATTCAGAAGCTAGCAGAAGGCAAGAAATAACTAAGATCAGAGCACAACTGAAGGAAATAGAGACACAAAAAACCCTTCAAAAAATCAATGAATCCAGGAGCTGGTTTTTTGAAAAGATCAACAAAATTGATAGACCGCTAGCAAGACTAATAAAGAAGAAAAGAGAGAAGAATCAAATAATGACAAAGGGGATATCACCACTGATCCCACAGAAATACAAACTACCATCAGAGAATACTATAAACACCTCTACGCAAATAAACTAGAAAATCTAGAAGAAATGGATAAATTCGTTGACACATACACCCTCCCAACACTAAACCAGGAAGAAGTTGAATCTCTGAATAGACCAATAACAGGCTCTGAAATTGAGGCAATAATTAATAGCTTACCAACCAAAAAAAGTCCAGGACCAGATCGATTCATGGCCGAATTCTACCAGAGGTACAAGGAGGAACTGGTACCATTCCTTCTGAAACTATTCCAATCAATACAAAATGAGGGAATCCTCCCTAACTCATTTTATGAGGCCAGCATCATCCTGATACCAAAGCTGGGCAGAGACACAACCAAAAAAGAAAATTTTAGATCAATATCCTTGATGAACATCAATGCACAAATCTTCAATAAAATACTGGCAAACCGAATCCAGCAACACATCAAAAAGCTTATCCACCATGATCAAGTGGGCTTCATCCCTGGGATCCAAGGCTGGTTCAACATACAAAAATCAATAAACACAATCCAGGATATAAACAGAACCAAAGACAAAAACCACATGATTATCTCAATAGATGCAGAAAAGGTCTTTGACAAAATTCAACAACCCTTCATGCTAAAAACTCTCAATAAATTAGGTATTGATGGGACGTATCTCAAAATAATAAGAGCTATCTATGAGAAACCCACAGCCAATATCATACTGAATGGACAAAAACTGGAAGCATTCCCTTTGAAAACTGGCACAAGACAGGGATGCCCTCTCTCACCACTCCTATTCAACATAGTGTTGGAAGTTCTGGCCAGGGCAATTAGGCAGGAGAAGGAAATAAAGGGCATTCAATTAGGAAAAGAGGAAGTCAAATTGTCCCTCTTTGCAGATGACATGACTGTATATCTAGAAAACCCCATCGTCTCCGCCCAAAATCTGCTTAAGCTGGTAAGGAACTTCAGCAAAGTCTCAGGATACAAAATCAATGTGCAAAACTCACAAGCATTCTTAGACACCAATAACAGACAAACCGAGAGTCAAATCATGAGTGAACTCCCATTCACAATTGCTTCAAAGAGAATAAAATACCTAGGAATCCAACTTACAAGGGATGTGAAGGACCTCTTCAAGGAGAACTACAAACCACTGCTCAACGAAATAAAAGAGGATACAAACAAATGGAAGAACATTCCATGCTCATGGGTGGGAAGAATCAATATCATGAAAATGGCCATGCTGCCCAAGGTAATTTATAGATTCAATGCCATACCCATCAAGCTACCAATGACTTTCTTCACAGAATTGGAAAAAACTACTTTCAAGTTCATATGGAACCAAAAAAGAGCCCGCATTGCCAAGTCAATCCTAAGCCAAAAGAACAAAGCTGGAGGCATCACACTACCTGATGTCAAACTATACTACAAGGCTACAGTAACCAAAACAGCATGGTACTGGTACCAAAACAGAGATATAGATCAATGGAACAGAACAGAGCCCTCAGAAATAATGCCGCATATCTACAACTATCTGATCTTTGACAAACCTGACAAAAACAAGCAATGGGGAAAGGATTCTCTATTTAATAAATGGTGCTGGGAAAACTGGCTAGCCATATGTAGAAAGCTGAAACTGGATCCCTTCCTTACACCTTATACAAAAATTAATTCAAGATGGATTAAAGACTTACATGTTAGACCTAAAACCATAAAAACCCTAGAAGAAAACCTAGGCAATACCATTCAGGATATAGGCGTGGGCAAAGACTTCACCTCTAAAAGACCAAAAGCTATGGCAACAAAAGCCAAAATTGACAAATGGGATCTAATTAAACTAAAGAGCTTCTGCACAGCAAAAGAAACCACCAGCAGAGTGAACAGGCAACCTACATAATGAGAGAAAATTTTTGCAACATACTCATCTGACAAAGGGCTAATATCCAGAATCTACAATGAACTCAAACAAATTTACAAGAAAAAAACAAACAACCCCATCAAAAAGTGGGCAAAGGATATGAACAGACACTTCTCAAAAGAAGACATTTATGCAGCCAACAGACACATGAAAAAATGCTCATCATCACTGGCCATCAGAGAAATGCAAATCAAAACCACAATGAGATACCATCTCACACCAGTTAGAATGGCGATCATAAAAAGTCAGGAAACAACAGGTGCTGGAGAGGTTGTGGAGAAATAGGAACACTTTTACACTGTTGGTGGGACTGTAATCTAGTTCAACCATTGTGGAAGTCGGTGTGGCGATTCCTCAGGGATCTAGAACTAGAAATACCATTTGACTCAGACATCCCATTACTGGGTATATACCCAAAGGATTATAAATCATGCTGCTATAAAGACACATGCACGCATATGTTTATTGTGGCACTATTCACAATAGCAAAGACTTGGAACCAACCCAAATGTCCAACAATGATAGATTGGATTAAGAAAATGTGGCACATATACACCATGGGATACTATGCAGCCATAAAAAATGATGAGTTCATGACCCTTGTAGGGACATGGATGAAGCTGGAAACCATCATTCTCAGCAAACTATCGCAAGGACAAAAAACCAAACACCGCATGTTCTCACTCATAGGTGGGAATTGAACAATGAGAACACATGGACACGGGAAGGGGAACATCACACACCAGGGACGGTTGTGGGGTGGGGGTGGGGGGAGGGATAACATTAGGAGATATACCTAATGCTAAATGACGAGTTAATGGGTGCAGCACACCAATATGGCGCATGTATACATATGTAACAAACCTGCACGTTGTGCACATGTACCCTAAAACTTAAAGTATAATAAAAATAAAATAAAAAGAAAATCTACATATGATACAATTACAAAAAAATTACACACAGTGAGTGTATATAACCTGGTGAAATCTGAACAAATTCTGTGGATTTTACCAATGTTGATGTCCCAGTTTTGATAATGCACTATAGTTATGTAAGATATTACCACTGGTGGAGGCTAGGTGAAGTGGGTACAGGGTCTCCTGTACCATTATTTTTGGAACTTTTTGTGAATCTATAATTATTTCAAAATAAAAAGTTTAAAAAGAAGAAATGAAAAATAAATGTTGTTGTACTCTGAAAAAAAAAATTATATCAGTGATCTCAGTACTAAAGAGACAACAAAAAGAGAGTTGCCTCCAAAACAAAGGGAAAAAACATTTTCAGGCAGTTGAGAAAATAATTCAGTAACAAGAGCAATCAGGATTGGAGGAAATATCCTTTGCTCAATCTAGGCAGAGGATAAGAAAGAATGAGAAAGTAAAGACTAGAAATCATTCAATCAAAGGAAAATGGAATCAAAATACTACAGGAAAAACACAACATATGATGTCCTGAGTCCCATTTCTTTTACACCAAACTTGCCACTTTCATATCACCCATTTTATCATAACCATACTTTAATTATCAGTGAGTTTTTCTAGCAAAGTTTTTAAGCAAAGTGCGCCATGCTTTTCTATATTGTACAGGCTCTGAATCATTTGGAGGAAAAATACTATGCAAATCTAAGATGTAAATGAATGCCATCTGTGCATTTTAAGATTAGAAACAAGTGCAATTCACCACTGAGTGAACTAACCTCCCTGTCTAGGAGACGCTAGTGTTATACAGAAATGTAATGTCCATTTCTTCCTACCTTCTGTTGCCAGCCTTAATTTTGGGTCCAAAAGTGCCTGAGTTAGGATGGTTCAACTTACAATTTTTTTACTTTACAATAGTGTAAAAGTGACACACATTCAGTAGAAAATGTATTTCAACTACCCATACAACCATTCAGTTTTTCACTTTCAGTACAGTGTTCAATAAATTACATGAGGTACTCAGTACTTTATTTTAAAATGTGTTAGGTAATTTTCTTGGCCAATCTAAGTGTTCTGAGCCCCTTTAAGGTAGACTAGGCTAAGCTATGATGTTCAGTAGGTTAGGTGTACGAAACATATTATCAATTTATAATATTTTCAACATATGATGGTTTAGTGGGAAGTAAGTCTATTTATGTAAGTTGAGAAGTGATTGCGTGTCTGTGTATACATATGTGGGTTGCATATATACACAAATATACATACAGAAGCTAATTAAACAAAAACCCATTATTAGGTACAAAGTGGTGTGGTTGGTAAACTTGTGTTTGGTTTGGTTTGGTTTCTATGATTCTTAACTAATCACAAAATTGGTTCCTCTTCTATTTTCAGGGCTATTTTTCCATGGCCCTCTATTTCTCATTACCCTTCTTCAAGGCTTTAACCCGTTTCTCATTTAGAAAAAAAAAAAAAGTGCAGCTTGCTGCCAGTGCTCATTTGATTCTACATAAGCACACTCTTTGAGGCTGAAGCAAATCTGACTGATTTTCAATGTGAAAATAAAATATAAAAACTGTTCTTGGAGTGCTTTCTAAACAGAACGTGTCTCTAATCCTAATGTAACAGAAATTATGTGATGTAACATTAGGATTAGACACAAGTATTCTCAGGGCAAACGGGAAATGGGTTAATAGAATTTAGCAGCTATCAGTCACCTTCACTGTCACTCACATGTGTAATCGCATTCCCCACCACCCAAACATTTTTCAGTCTCACCAGTGAACTCTTTTGCAATTAGACTACTACCTTGTACCACGGGCATCTATGGCCAACCCACTACTCAGGATGATGTTCTCTTTGCCCCCAGGAAGTGGGTTAGCCAGTTCCAAATCTCCACCTTACTACCTGCTGTCTTGGAGCACTCTCACTAACACATTAGGTTGGGTCTTCTGAGGAGCAAACACCAAAACAGGGTTAGGAGTGCAGAGGGTTTATTAGAAAGAAATGGGACAAGGTGCTATTGGACTACAATGTAGGTCTGACAGCTATGGAAGGAGAACTTAGCAGAAAGAAACTTCAACAACAGCACTATTGAAAGAAAAAAAAAATCCTGATGGATGTCCAAAAGCCAAAGTCTTTTGCTGGAAGAATTCTTTAATATTGCCAAAATAAGCCTGCCATAAAATCTTTGCCATCTTCACTTATCAGCTGGGAGCAGCCCACAGAAACATGAGGTTGGCATGGATGTTGCAGTAGATCAAAAGGGACAGGAGCTGGAACCATCACTATGCTGCACACAGTAAAAGATCAGAGTCACCTGTTTTCTCCTTTTTTCCCTGGCTTTTCCCCCAAGATCACCAGCACCACCACCAAAGCATGCAGGAATTTTCACAGGTAAGCCAAATGAAGAAATCACCAATCAGGGAGGCAGTATTTTGGAGATACCTGAAAGATCCTCTTGCATTTAGCCAAAAGCCAAAAGTCATCTATTTTCCTCATGGAATTCCATTAACCCAAGGTGAAAACAGACCATTTTTCACATTAAGTGTTAATGTAGAGCTCATATCTTAAGGTTATTTACATTTGATCTCTCAGTGAACCAAGGAATAGTAAATGTAGAGGAAAGATCTTAGAAAAAGAAGTAATTACAAAACTGGACTCAATTTTGCATTGGCACAAACATACTATCCAACCTTGGGAAAAGGTAAGTAATATCTGTGGAGCTCACCAGGCATACAACAGTGAGCTGATAAAACTAAGTTATTGACACTATGCTTATTTGGGGGGATATAGTCCCTGCCCTTCAAAAGCACAGATATGATAGAGCTTTGAACCAAATGTCCTCAGCTTTAAAATGATGTTTCCACAGCTTTTCTTAAAAAAGAATTTTAGGCTGACCAAGATGGCTGACTGGAAGCAGTTACTGGAAGCAGTTACTGTGCACTGCTCTCATGGAGAGAAATAGAAGAGGTGGGTAAATTCAGTTCCTTCAACTGAAACTCCCAGGTGCACACATTGAAATTCATCAAGAAAATTCCTTGAACCACAGAGAATGGAGAAAAGCAAGACAAGACAACCACCCACCCAGAAGCAACACAGAGCCAACGGAGCCTCCCCCACCAAGGGAAGTGGTAAGTGAATGAGCAACCCCAGGGACCCACACTTCTCCCATAGATTTTTGCAACCCTTGGGTCAGGAGATCCCCTCATGAACCCATTCCACGAGGGCCTGCAGTCTGACACGCAGAGCTACATGGAGTCTTGGCGAAGCAGCTGGTTACTCAGGCACACGAGGAGCCCCAAAAGCTTTAGATATCTGCACTTCCCAGAGAAAGTGGCTACAATTCAGGCAAAGTGGGAGGTTAGACTCCCATTCATACTGCTAGAAAAGGAGCTGAATCCAGGGGGCTGAGCGGTGATGGTCTGCAGGCCCTGCCTCCATGCACCTTTCAGGGTAAGACCCACTAGTTTGGAACTGCAGCCAGCCACCAGCAGCAACGTTACACCTCCCTGAGACAGAGCTCCCAGAGGACGGGGTGAGCCACCATCTTTTCTATTTTGCAACCTTAGTGGTTGTTGCCTTCAGTGCAGCTGCCCTGTGGAAAAGTGTCCAGACCACTTTTTAAATGTGAATCCCCAAACCTGCTTCTTCTCACCTGGTGGGACCTCCTGACCAGGGTCACCAGCAACCTTTGCCAGTGTTTTCCAGCTGTCAGTGGTTCCAAGACTCCCTGGCACAGGGCTCCCAGGGGGAAGGATGGACTGCCATTTTTGCTGTTTCATAGCCTTTGTCAATGTTGCCTTTGGGATCTAGGGAATCTGAGGCAACTAGGGACTGGAGTGGTCCCCCTGGCACAGCACAGCAGCTCCATGGAGAATTGGCCAGATTGCTTTTTCACATGGGTCCCAGATCCCATTTCTCTTCACTGGGTGGGATCTCCTGACCGAGGTCTACAACTACCACTGCCGGTGTGTTCAGGCTGGAAACAGATATGTACCTCCCTGGGATGGAGCTCCCAGAGGGAGGAGCAGACCGCTGACTTTGCCATTTCACAGCCTTCACAGTTGATACCTTCAGGTGCTGGAAAAATCTACGGTGGCTAGGGACTGGAGCAGAACACCAACATAATGCAGCAGCCCTGCAGCAAAGTGGTCAGACTTTGCTGAGGAGATACAATTGTCCCTGATCTCATATCTCCTCACTGGGTAGGATCTCACAGCCTGGGTCTCCAGTAGAAGCCCTGCAACTCCCTGAGTCAGAGCTCCCAGTAGGAGTGGGGGTTGCCATTTTGCAGTCTCATGGCCCCACCCTTGCTGTCTCCAGGCTCTGGAGAATCCATGAGGACCAGGAGCTGATTCAGACCCCAGCACAGAGCACTCACTTCATGGAAAAGTGGGTGAACTATTCTCCATGCAGGTCGCAGTCCTCATGCCTCCTCACTAGGCAGGGCCACCCAACATGGGACTGCAGCACAATCATCCTGGCCCCACCTAACTACTTCAATCAGAGGCATCCCAGCAGTTAAAGGAAAATCCACATGCAGAGATTAGAAAGAACCAATGCAAGAACTCTGGCAACTCAAATGGCAGAGTGTCTTATATTCTCCAAATGACTGTACTAATCCTCCAAATGAATGCACTAGTTCTCCAACAAGGGTTCTTAACTAGGTTTAGTTGCCTGAAATGACAGAAATAGAATTCAGAATACGGATAGAAATGAAGATCATTGAGATTCAGCAAAATGCAGAATCCAATACAAGGAAACTAAGAATCAAAATAAAACAATACAGGAGATGACTGATAAAATAGCCAGTATAAAAAGGAACCTAACTAATCTGATAGAGCTTACAAACACACTGCAAGAATTTCACAATGCAATTGCAAGTATTAACAGCAAAATATACCAAGCTGAGGAATGAATCTTGGAACTTGAAGACTGGCTCTCTGAAATAAGACAGCAGACAAAAATAAAGAAAAAGGGATGAAAAGGAACAAATGAAACATCCAAGAAATAGGAGATTATGTAAATACGTCAAATCTACACATCACTATCATCTCTGAAAGAGACAGGGAGAAAGCAAAAAAACTTGGAAAATATATTTCAGGATATCATCCATGAAAACTTTCCCAACGTTGCTAGAGAGGCCAACAGTCAAATTCTGGAAATACAGAGAACCCTGCAAGATTCTACACAAAAAGATCATCCCCAAGATATAATCATCAGATTTTCCAAGGTCAAAATGAAGAAAAAGAATATTAAAAGCATCTAGAGAGAAAGGGCAGTTCACCTGCAAAGGGAACCCTATCAGGCTAACAGCAGACCTCTCAGCTGAAACCCTGCAAGCCAGAAAAGATTGGGGGCCTTCATTCAACATCCTTAAAAAAAAATCTTCAACCAAGAATTTAATATACAGCCAAACTGAGCTTCCTCAGTGAAAGAGAAATAAGATCCTTTTCGTATTTGGGATTGAGAGAGTTTGTTACTACCAGACCTGCCTTACAAGAGATCTTGAAAGGAACACTAAATATATAAGGGAAATACTGCCACCAGCTCATACAAAAACATACTTCAACACACAAACCAGTGACACTATAAAGCAACCACCCCAACAAGCTAGCATAATAGCCAACTGATAACACAATGACAGAATTAAATCCACACATATCAATACTAACCTTGAATGTAAATGAGCTAAATGCCCCATTTTAAAGGCACAGAGTGGCAAGCTGGAGAAAAAGGAAGATCCAATGATATGCTGTCTTCAGGAGCCCCATGTCACATGTGACACCCATTGGCTCAAAATAAAGGGATGGAAGAAAATCTACCAAGCATGTGAAAATCAGAAAAAAGCAGGAATTGCAATCCTAATTTCAGACAAAGTAGACATTAAACCAACAAAAATTAAAAAAAGAAGGGCATTACGTAATGGTAAAATATTCAATTCAGCAAGAAGACGTAACTGTCTTAAATATATATGCACCCAACACAGGAGCACCCAGATTCATAAAGCAATTTCTTAGAGACCTACAAAGAGATTTGAGACTCCCTTAACAGTGGGAGACTTCAACACTCCACTGATGGTATTATACAGATCTTCTAGGCAGAAAATTAACAAAGATATTTAGGACATGAACTCAACATTGGACCAAGTGAATCTAATAGACTTCTACAGAACTTGCCACCCAAAAACAACAGAATATACATTCTTCTCATTACCATGTGGCACACACTCAAAAATGACCACACAATTGGACATAAAACAATCCTTAGCAAATGCAAAAGAACTGAAATCATACCAAACACACTCTCAGAGCACAACAAAATAAAAATAGAAATAAATATGTAAAAATTGCTCAAAACTATGCAATTACATGTAAATTAAACAACCTCCTGCTGAATGACTTTTGGGTAAATGATAACATTAAGGCAAAAAATCAAGAAGTTCTCTGGAAGTAATGAAAACAAAGAGGAAACATACCAGAATCTCTGGGACACAGCTAAGGCAGTGTTAAGAGGGAAATTTATAGCAATAAATACCTACATCAAAAAGTTAAAAAGATCTCAAATTAACAACCTAACATTGCAACTAAAAGAACTAGAGAAGCATAAGAAAACAAACCTCAAAGCTGGCAGAAGACAAGAAATAACCAAAATCAGAGCTAAACTGAAGGAGATCAAGACATGAAAAACCATACAAAAGATCAACAAATCCAGGAGTTGGTTAAAAAAAACTAATAAGACAGGCCACTAACTAGACCAATGAAGAAGAAAAATGAGAAGTTCCAAATAAACACAATTAGAAATCACAAAGGGGATGTAACCACTGACCCCACAGAAATACATACAACCATAAGAGACTGCTATGAATACCTCTAAGCACACAAACTAGAAAAGCTAGAAGAGATGGATAAATTCCTGGACACACACTCTCCCAAAACTGAACCAGGAAGAAACTGATTCGTTGAACAGACCAAGAATGAGCTCTGAAATTAAATCAGTAATACATATCCTACCAATAAAAAAAACCCAGGACCAGAAGAATTCATGGCTGAATTCCACCAGATGTACAAAGAAGAGGTGGTGGCATTCCTACTAAACAATTCCAAAATTTTGAGAAGTCTTCTCCAACTTATTCTATGAGGCCAGCATCATCCCAACACCAAAATCTGGCAGAGACACATACAAAAAAAGAAAACTTCAGGCTAATATTCTTGATAAACATTGACGTGAAAATCCTCCACAAAATACTTGTAAACCAAATCCAGCAGCACATCAGAAAAAGCTAATCCACCACAATCGAGCAGGCTTTGGACTTTATTCCTGGAATGCAAGGTTGGTTCAACATACACAAATCAATAAATGTGATTCATCACATAAATAGAACCAAAGACAAAAACCACATGGTAATCTCGATGGATGCAAAAAAGGCTTTCAATAAAATTCATTGTCTCTTCATGTTAAAAACTCTCGATACACTAGGTATTGAATGAAAATACCTCGAAATAATAAGAGCCATTTATGACAAACCCACAGCCAACATCATACTAAATAAGCAAAAACTGGAAAAATTCCCCCCTTGAAAACTGACACAAGACAAGGATGCCCTCTCTCACCACTCCTATTCAACATAGTATTGGAAGTCCTGGCCAAAGTAGTCAGGTAAGAGAAAGAAATAAAGGGCATCCAAATAGGAAAAGAGAAGTCAAAGTATCCCTGGTTGCAGATAACATAATTCTATATCTAGAAAACACCCAAAAGCTCAGCCCAAAATCTCCTTCAGCTGATAAACAATTTCAGCAAAGTCCCAGGTTACAAAATCAGTATACGAAAATCACTGACACTACTATATACCAACAATAGGCAAGCCAAAAGCCAAATCAGGAACACAATCCCACTTACAGTTACCACAAAAAGAATAAAATACCTAGGAAACAGCTAACCAGAGAGGTGAAAAATCTCTACAATGAGAATTACAAAGTACTGCTCAAAGAAATCAGAAATGGCACAAACAAATGGAAAAACATTCCATGCTCATAGATAAAAAGAATCAATATTATTAAAATGGCCATACTGCCCAAAGCAATTTATAGATTCACTGCAATTCCTATCAAACTACCAATGAGAGAAGAAGGGTGGAGCAATATGGCAGAATGGAAGGCTCCACTAATTGTTCCCCACCTGCAAGGATACCAAGTTAACAATTAGCTTCACATTCTTCACAGAACTAGAAAAAAAAACTATTTTAAAATTCATATGGAACGCTAAAAGGGCCCAAATAGCCAAGGCAATCCTAAGCAAAAATAAAAAAGCTGGAGACATCACATTACCCAACTTCAAACTACACTACAGGGCTACAGTAACAAAAGCAGCATGATACTGGTATGAAAACAGACACATAGAACAATGAAATAGCATGGAGAGCCTAGAAGTAAGGCCACACACCTACAACATATGATCTTTGACAAAACTGACAAAAAGAAAAAAAAAAAAAAAACAAGAAATTGGGAAAGGACTCCAATAAATGGTACTAGAATAACTGGCTAGCAATATGCAGAAGACTGAAACTGGACCCTTTCCTTACATCATATACAAAAATCAACTCAAAATAGATTACAGAGTCCAATGCAAAACCCAAAATTATAAAAATCCTGGAATACAACCTAGGCAATACCATTCTGGACATAGGAACTGGCAAAGAGTTCCTGTCTTTGCTGCGGATGGGAAGAATAATCGGTGGAGACTTCAATTCTGCCATCTTTCTCCACCCTTCTTCTCTCATTGGTAGTTTGATAGGAATTGCATTGAATCTGTAAATTGCTTTGGGCAGTATGGCCATTTTAATAATATTGATACTTCTTCCTATCCATGAGAATGAAATGTTTTTCCATTTGTTTGTGTCACCTCTGATTTCTTTGAGCAGTACATTGTAATGTCAATAAATTTCAATGAACCAGAAAAAAAAATTTTAACTAGTTGAAGAGAAAGCTATATATAGAATGTCACATAAAATCATTTAAGTAATAGATAATTTTGGAGGTTTAGGGTAATTGAGATTTGTTATCACCAAGCCAAGTTTCTCTAGAAATCAGCTATAAATTCTTAAGGAGTAATTAGTTCTTACTTCATTTATTACTTCTATATAATGGATTGGTTGAAATTTCTAGATTTATGTTACTAAGATTTGAGGGTTCTACCTGTCAAATAACAGAATGGTTTTTAACTAGACCTGAATTCAAGATATTTTGGTTTTCTTCCCTGATTAGTATAGGACATTGGACATATAATTAACTTTTCTAAACTTTCATTTTCTCATCTGTAAAATGGGGACAATTACAGTAACTATATGAAATACTACATGCAAAATTATTGAGAGTGTCTATCAAAGGCACTCATTAAATAGTCTATTATTTAAAAAAAAAAATGCTGAGAAAGATGGCAGGTGACATATGCCTCCTCCACAGAAAGAAACTAAAACACTAAGTAGACCCTTCCATTTTGACCAGATTGTCCAGGAGAGAATGCTGGGATTCATCAGAGAAGAGATGGGAAGCACCAGAAATAAGTAAGGAGGGCATTTGTCCAACTGGAGACTGAGCTGGGAAAGGCACCTGGATACGGGGAAACAGTAAAAGAGAAATCCCCAGGGCACTGAAATGGGCTTTTGCAATATTGGCTATGGAAGAAACCCTTGAACCACTAGGGCCTCAGGCCTGACATATGGAGCTGCCTAAAGACTACAGAGACATTGCTCCAGGAAGGCAACCCACACGGAATTCACAGCATCCAAGCCTAGTGCAGCCTCAGCCAGGTGCCATTTTGAGAGCCTAGATCCTGGGAATCTACAGAAATGGCTGCTGCCACCGCACTGCTCCAAAGAGGGAGAGGAGAGACTGGACACTCCCTCTCACTCATGGGAGAGTCCCTACTTCCCTGCCCTGCTTTGGGCTGCCTTTGAGACTGAGACATGAACGGACTGCAATCCCCACAGCTTCTTGCCCATGTTGCTTGCCTTAGGAAGACCCTCCCCTCCCTGGTCCCAGGTCCAAGGCATCATTTTGAGAGCTTAACACTGGGCTGTGCCCACCCTTGGGCTAAGTTTGAGTTGATGTAGCTGTAGCCGCTGCCTGGCCAAGGAGGGACAGGGAACCAGGCTGTCCTACACATAAATAGGACAATACCCACCACCCTGCTACAGGCTGCTGTGAGACTGAGACTCCAGTAGACAGCATTCCCCACAGCTTCTTGTCCATGCTTCTCACTTGAGAGGGACTCTGTCATCTCTGGTCATAAGCCAACAACTGAAACAATTTTGAGAATTTAGCGTTGAGCTTTGTTCCACCCTTAGGCTGAGTTTGAGAGATGTGGCTGCAGCCTCCACCTAGCCAGGGGAGGAACAGGGGAGACCAAGCTCTCCTAAACACACTTAGGACAATACCCACCACCCTGCTATGGGTGGCTGTGGGACTAGGAACTAACCTACCCAACCCATCATAGCTACCAGCAATACCAGCACGGACTGCTTGGGCCCCAGTGGCTTGCTCCATCACCACTACTGCCATCATCCACACCACACAAGATGCCCAGGGGACTGAGAACCTGCCCACACACCTGGCCCACCATTCCCACTGCTAGCTTCTTAGCAAGCCACCTGGAGGCCCAAAAGTCAGCCCTCTAGGACTCACTAATACCAGAGCCGGTGTAAATTTCTCTGAGCCTTAAAAATAGGGACATCCACCCCACTGCTGCCACCACCAGGGCCCAAAGATTAACTGAGATGGAATCCAAGTCCTCAGCTGAACTTCATCACAACTTCGACTAATGGCTGTACCCTAAGTCACTGAGGAAATCACATGTACCACCAACCCTATGTACTCCTGAAGAAATCATACAAAGATCACACTATCTCAGCACCCAAAATCACAGCCAAAGTATCCCGCTCAGTTAACAATACACATACATCCTCAGGAAAAATTCTCCCCTACTAAAGCAATTTCAAAGAAAACTGAAGCAAGTGACTGCTAGAACAGATGAGCAGATACCAAGGGAAGGACATAGAAAACATGAAAAAGCAGGGACATATGATACTACAACAATTTTCCAGCAACAGATCCCAATCAAAAAGAATTCCTCAAAATGCCAGATAAAAAATTTAAAATATTGATTTTTAAAAAGCTTAATGATAGGCAAGATAAATCTGAAACCCAATACAAATAAATCAGAAAATCAATTCAGAATATAAATAAAAAATTTACTAAGAAGATAGCTATCTGAAATTTAAAAACCAAACAAAAAGCCTGGAAATAAAAAATTCATTAAAGGAAATACAAACTATATATGAAAGCTTTAATAATAGACTAGACCAAGCAGAAGAAAGAATCTCAGAACTTGAAGACAGGTCTTTTGAAATAATTCAGTTAGACAAAACTAAGGAAAAAAGAATTTTAAAAAATGAACAAAGTCTTCCAGACATCTGGGAATATGTAAAGAGACCGAATTTATGAATTATCAGTATTCCAAAATGGGGAGAGAGATCAAAAACTTTAGAAAATTTAATTAATAAAATAATCAATGAAAATTTCTCAAGTCTATCAAGATAGTTACACATTCAGATCTAACTTCTACCCGTTGATTTCTAAACTTGTGTATATGACCCACAAATAACATACTGCCATATAATGGCCATTGTCTCCTTATCACCAGTCAGTCTTTTTGAAAGCTAGTGTCATACTGGGGGCTAAGCTTTGGTCCTGTGGCCAGCAAGTTGGGCTACTGGCAGAAATGGTAGCTTGATGGAGTTTAGTAAGTGGAAGCTGTAGTTGTTGGCTCATCCTGTGGTCATAGATTTTAGGAGAGGGAGAAACATCATTTTGACAGAGATGGAACACATGTGGGTCTGGCACATGAAGCTGACTTGAGCCATCTGGCTTTGCTCATGCCTGATCCCAAATTTACCACTTCCTTCCTGTGATAGATTGCTACCAGGTTCACCCAATCTTATGATTTGATGGATCTGACAGAATCCAGGTCATGAGGGGCAATTCTGGCTACCTAGGACAGTTGGTATCCCTTGATCAGGCACTCTGTTTCTCCCAGACCCCTGTGGCACACAAAAGCCTGTTTTCAGAGAGATTAATTTCCTACTGCAAGAAGCAGGCTCCTGGGCTCAAGAGATTCTTCTGCCTCAGCTTCCCAAATAGCTAGGACTACAGGTCCATGCCACCATGCCCAGCTAATTGCATCATTTTTATAAGGGCCAAAATAGTAAACTAAATGGTCATCTAATGTGGACCATCATCTCTACACCCTTTTACAATGTAAAGAGTGCCCATAATTTCTGCCATTTACTTTATTTATTGGTTTTTTGCCATAAATATTGCAATATTGCTTTTTATTTACTCTCTTGGTTTATGAGGTATTTAGGAGGTTTCCACTTGGTCTTCCTCTCTACTCTTACCCCACAAGCCATGGAATCAATGTAGGGCTTTTGCCAATTCCAAAGTATACCCACCCAATTAAATATTCAGGCCTATAAAAATGACCACTGGTTGGCTGTGGGTCAACCCGGCCCAGGACACCATTTATTACATGGCCCCCACTTGCTGCCATATGGGGGCCCATGGTGACACCTTAGGTCCCCACGCATCTATATCAACTGAGATCTTTGATAGGTTTGAATATCTTTTTTTTTCTTTAATGTTATCCAAGTAAATGATCATACACCCATTTGGGAACCTACTAGAAGAATTATTACTATATATAATTACTATGGTGTTCATTCTTCCTGGGGAACTGGTCTCTCCTTCCATCAGTGGTTTCTGGGCCAGAAAATTGGTCAAAGGATCATAACTTTTAACTGGAATGCCTGCCTTCAATCTCCTGATCTCTCTGATTTCCTTTTAATTCTATAGATCAAACAATATCTTGTTGACTTCCCCTTTATACTGTCTCTAGGAATACTGTGTTCTTTTAACCACCTTCATAGTTCTTGGTGGGACAGGCCTTCCAGCCACCACTCCAACAGTGCCACTTACTATGATAATTGTGCCCATCTTGCTTCTGGCAGTTATGCACTGACATCTGGCTTCTATTTTTTCAACGTTGTATCATCTCTTTTCCTCTCAATAAGCTAAATTCTGGCACAGCATCCATTACCATTGTCCCTGGCCTGTGGAGATCAGTCACTGCTGAGCCCCACAACAAATGTGAAAGCCCTCTAACCAGTTAGCTCTTTACCACTTTGATAAACAGAATGCCTCCTAGACTCTTCCAGGAAACAGAGTTGACTGGTGGGTTACACACTATATTTAATCTAGCATACCAAATTATCTGAGCCTCTTGATAACATTTCTGCAATCTTTCTCAGCAGCTCTGGCATTTCTAGTTTATTTAGGGAACCTAACACTTTCTCCAAGCTTCCAACATTATACTAACCTAGCAGCACATTAATATCATCCCCTAAGGTCCTTGCCAGTTTGTTAAATCCTATATCATGAGGTTCTTCCATATTGATAAGTTCTCCCTTATCCAACCTGGTATTTCATTTTGTATCTTGATCCAGCATCTCAGACCCGGTCCATACATGTTCCAGCTCATGTAAGTACATAGTACGTAGGTCCTGCAAATCCTTCAACCTCTCTTAGCTGGCCCAGAACTTCCCTGGCCAAGTTATGTTCTGATTTAATCCTAGTTATTTATTGGACTGGTGATCAGGATGGGAGGAGAAGGTAGGTAATGAGTGGGATGCATATGCTTTGCAAGGCAGAGACCTCTGCATTATCTTCAAGAATAAAAGATTAGCATTTAGTGAGGAGGAATAGGTCACATCTGTGGGCCTAGACAGGTCAGAGGGATCTGGAAATTTAAGAGTTTCAAGTGCATTAACTCAGATGTCCTCATCTCAAGTCTGACAAAGGCCCTGCTCATGCAGAGGAAATTTGCTGAGGCTGAAAATTCAGCCTCCTCTGGAGCTCTGCCACACTTATAATTAAATCCTGGGCATGATCTCCAGCTTTTTCTATCCTCTGGCTGGAGCAAACTCCTTACATGTTGCAAAGAAGGAAGGCCTTCTGGCATTCACACTTAGCCTTTAATTGGTTATCAGTCATCCCAACCTACTATTGTATTTCTTAATACATAGACTGCCTCCAGAAATTACAGTCTTTTTAATCACTGCCCTCTCAAACTTCCCAAACATCTCAGACACTGCCTCCACTAAGAGTTTCCACCAGTACCTGATTGCAATTCCTGCCCCCACCCACATCCCCCATGTGGGTTTTTACAATCACACCACATCATGCAGGAAGCTATCCATGTTCCACCTTCCACAGTGATTGGGTCTTCATTGCCAGCTCCAAAGGCCTATTATAGAATATGCCTCATCATACAACTATTGGCATCAACAGTTCAGGGACAGACTCTGAGATGAATATTTTCTTGCAGGAAGCTTATTGGGAAGTGTCCTAGGAACCAACATCAATAAAAGCTATAAGAAGGAAGACTGAGAACCGGGAGAAGCTGAACTCTGATGCACTCAGAGCAAAGGCTTCAGCCCATCTTCTTATAAGCTCTAGAGCTGGAATGGCCCATCAAAGTTGTCATGTTTTTAGACAAGGGACCAATAATTTTACATCCCTGCATCGACCAGTCATTGTCTATGGGCTGCCTCTGGGATGAGGCTTGAGTTTGAGAGCAGTGGTTTTCTTTAGTTGAGGACATCCCCAGAAAGCAACTCAGCAGAAAGTTGTCAAAGGCCCACACTCCCTGCAACTGAAGAAATGGGCGCCTTAGCTCTGAAGGTGGATCTCGATGGCACAACAGCATCCAAAACAGACAGTCCTGCTATGGCAGAAAGAAAAGTGGCCCCAAAATACCCATATCTAAATCCCTACAACTTGGGGACATGGTACCATACATGGCAAAAAGGACTTTGCCATTGTGATTGAGTTTAAAGGCCTTGAGATGGGGAGATTATCCTGAACCTGGGTTCAGGGTGCCCAACCTAATTATATGCATTCTTTGAAACCAAACAAACAAACCTTTTGTGGCTGAGGTTAGAGTCAAGGGAAGATGTGACTACGGAAGTTGTTAACTTAAAAGATAGAGGAAGGGGCCACAAGACAAAGAATATAGGAAGCTTCAGAAGCTGGACAAAGGCAAGCAGGTGGATTCCTCCCTGGAGCCTCCAGAAGGGAATGCAGTCCTGCTGACAGTCTGGCTTTAGCCCATGATACCTGTGTTGAACTCCTAACCCATCAAATTTTAAGATAATAAATGTATTTTTTTAATGTCACAACATTTGTGGTAATTTATCTAAGCAGCAACAGAAAATCTGTTTTGATGGTAAAGGATACCTGATTATCAGTTTTTGTATAAACAGCTCAGGTATAGAAGCATTTGCTTATCAGCAGGTTGAAGAACTAGTTACTATTTTATCTTTTACCCCTTTTATACAATAAGTACATCATGGAAAACAGCACTAAATATAAGAGATGATTGGGAATACCTTTATCTAATGCAATCCTAAACTATTCAAGACTTTTGCACAGTCTCTTCCCAAGCCCTAAGCACCATGCTTTTATCTTTAGGGAATGCCCCGCTGCCATCTGTCTTTAGATCTAAGTTTAGCCTCTGAAGACCAGCATATGAAATGTTGGATGTCAATCATCAGTAATATGGTTTGGCTGTGTCCCCACCCAAATCTCATATGGCATTGTAGTTTCCATAATCCCCTTGTGTCTTAGGAGAGAAGAGGTAGAGATAATTGAATCACCGGGCTGATTTCCCACACCCTGTTCTTGTAATAGTGAGTTAGTTCTCAGGAGACTTAATGGTTTTACAAGGGGCTCCCTGCTTCACTGGGCACTCATTCTTCTTCTTTCTGCCACCATGTGAAGAAGGATGTGTTTGCTTCCCCTTCCACCATGATTTGTATTTCTTAATACAGAGATTGTTTCTTGAGGCCTCCCCAACCCAAAGAACTATGAGTCAATTAAATCTCTTTCCTTTATAAATTACCCAGTCTTGGGTATGTCCTTTAGCAGTATAAGAATGAACTAATACAATCAGGAAATTGAATTGTTTATAATTTTTCAATGGTAGAGGGATCAAGGATATAAGTTAACTGTTTATGCTCCTAGAGCAGAATTTCTCAACCTCAGCACTAGTGGCATTTTGGCCAGACAATTCTTTATTGTGGGGGCCTGTTTTGTGCATTGGTAGGGTAGTTGGTGGCATCCCAAGCCTCCACTGATGAGATGCAAGTAGCAGTTCCCCAGTTCATCTCCCTTACCTCAGTTATGACAACCAAAAATATCTCCACACGAGAAAAGGGAACAACTTATACACTTGGTGGGAATGTAAATTAGTTCCACCATTATGGAAAGCAGTGTGGTGATTCTCAAAAAGCTAAAAACAGAACTATCATTCAACCCAGAAATCCCATTACTGGGTATACACCCAAAGGAATATAAATTGTTCTGCCGTAAAGACACATGCACACGTATGTTCATTGCAGCACTATTCACAATAGCAAAAATATGGAATCGACCTAAATGCCTATCAACAGCAGAGTGAATAAAGAAAATGTGGTACATATACACCATGGAATACTATGCAGCCATACAAAAAACAAGATCATGTCCTTTGCAGGAACATAGATGGAGCTAGAGGACATTATCATTAGCAAACTAATGCAGGAACAGAAAACCAAGTACTGCATGTTCTCACTTATAAGTGGGAGCTAAATGATGAGAATGCATGGACACAAAGAGGGAAACGAGAGACACTGGGCCCTACTTGAGAGTAGAGAATGGGAGAAGGAGAAGGATCAGAAAACATAACTATTGGGTACCATCTTTATTACCTGGGTGATAAAATAATCTGTACACCAAAACCCTGTGACACAAGTCTACCTATATTACAAACTTGCACAAGGACCCCTGAACCTAAAATGAAAGTTTAAAAAAAAAAAAAATCTACGCATTGTCAAATCTCCCCTGGGAGACAAAGCACTCCTCTCTGTCCCTCTCCCCTTTACTTAGGAACTATTGCCCTATAGAGGGAGAATTATGGAACGTAGCACTGACAAGGACTTTAAAACCTATTCAATCCTGCAATCTAACTTTTCAAAAGAGGAAGCACCTCTCAAAGAGATCATGTGACTTGCTGAAGTTCAACTAGTTAGTGGCATTGTCAACGGCTATATACAAACCTACCATCTCCATGGACCATTACAATAAATGATTTAAAAACTAAACATTTTCTAGGGGTATTAATTAGTTTCCAAAGCTTCATTCACATATGCAGACAAGTCAAATAAAACACAGCAAGTTGACCCAGTTTTGTATCCTTCCATTTTTTTTAAGGTTTCATTCTTCAGAACTTTCGTGGATAAAATTGTTTCTAATAGTGGTTGTCAGGAAATGCATTTTCACTAATTAGCAATGGTGACATGACAGAGATATATGAAACCAAATAGGTGACTAGGTGACTCCCACAATGCCAATCTTTCTCCTTTTCCTTGAGCTGAAAAGCCTTGTTACTCTTTTTGCACAGGGGGATAGAGGCTGAGAAGTCCCTCCTTTCTGAACAAGAAGGTCATTCCACAAACTTCCTCAGAGATTTCATCATCAGTAAGCCATCAGTTGCCAGGGGTTGGTTTGTTTTGTTAATTTGCAGCTCTATTTTTACTGAACAGAAGAGTAAGATCAATAGCAGCCATGGAGATTTCTAGGTTGCTACAATCTCCATTCTTACTTGCATTTGAAGGCATAACAATGTCAGTAGAATTAATTAAATTGCTGTCACTGTTTCTCTCATCCATCACTCACTCACACACTCCTATGTTAACACACATTGAGAGCAGCAGAATACACATTTACATATGCGCCCACCTACACTTGAAAGAAAATATGCTAATTTTTTTTCCATTTGTATCTTTTATCTGTGGTTTTGGATCACTTGAAAGCGTATTTAAATACAGGGATTGCGAGACAACTGGGTTTTCTGAAAATGCTAAACATTAAGCACCCTGAGGAGACCTCATCAGCCTTCTGAAAACATGGGGCTTTACTAAATCATTAATCAACAACCTAATCAAATCTTTATCTATAATTCAAGAGAAATAGAATGCCATATCCTAGTCAATTTATTTAGTATAGCTAACCTAAAACCAGGGAGGGAGTCTGAACCCCTGGGGAGGGACACCATCGCACAGTGGCAAGGCAGGGGTCCTGTCTTACTCCACTTTCCCTGCTTAACTGGAGGAAGTGATTGAGCAAGTCTCTACCTGTTGGGACTGGGCTGAAGAGCTGGAAAGACAAGGGAATCACATGTATTAAGTGCCTGGCACCCAGTCGATGCTTAATAATAATCTCCTTGCTCGTCATCACTCTGGTTTCACAAATAGACCCAAATGAAAGGGAAAATGCTTGCATCTGAGAAGCTGCATGGTTCATCATGGGGTTGTCAAAGCCCATTTGATTGTGGCCCCCATTCTAAAACCTGTTCCCAGGTCTTCCATTTAAAACTACCTAAAATTATGATCCATTTGGGGCTCCCCCGGCTCTCCATGGATACCAAGGATATTGACAGAGGAGCCTAGACCTTCCCTTTCTGCCACAGCTAGTTTTCACAGATGGAGCTCTGGGGTGTGAAGAGTTATAATAAGCAAACACATCTCAGCCTCCCCTCACAGGCCTCACCCAGGAGCGAGATATTGCATGGCCTCCAAGAGTAATGCATTCCCTTCCCTACGTGATGTAACTTCTGCCCTGAAATCCTGTGTAGCCAATGACACAGACTCTACTTGCAAGAGAAACATTGATAACATACCTCAAAATTATCATTTATTTCCTATGACTGTGAAGTAGAGGGATCATAATATCTAGTATGTCCTTTTTTTTTTTTTCTTTTTTTTTTTTTTGAGATGTAGTCTGAGCTGTCACCCAGGCTAGAGTGCAGTGGCATGATCTTGGCTCACTGCAACCTTCACCTCCTGGGTTCAAGCAATTCTCCTGCCTCGGCCTCCCAAGTAGCTGGGATTACAGGCATGTGCCACCACGCCTGGCTAGTTTTGTATTTTTAGTAGAGATGGGGTTTCACCACGTTGGTCAGGCTGGTCTCGAACTCTTGACCTCAAGTGATCCACCCGCCTCAGCCTCCCAAAATGCTGGGATTACAGGTGTGAGCCACTGTGCCTGGCCTAGCATGTACTTGTTATTTTTATAGATTTAGGGGGTACAATTGCCATTTTGTTAAATGATATGTAATGGTGAAGTCTGGGCTTTTAGTATAACAATCACACAAACAGTGTACATTGCCCCAGTAAGCAATTTCTCATCCTTCACCTGCCTCCCATTCTCCCACCCTTCTGAGTCTCCAGTGTCTATTATTCCACTGTCTATGTCCATGTGTGCACATTATTTAGCTCCCACTTACTCGTGAGAATATGCAGAAATAATATTTAGTATATATTGATTGTTGACAATATAGCTGGCATGGTAAATGCCTTCCAAATTTTTTGTCATTTGATGCTCACACCTTTATGAAGTAGATGCTATTATTGTTCTCATTTTTTAAAATAAAAAATTTTTCACCACTACCCAACATATCTATGTAACAAAACAGCACTTGTACCTCTAAGTGTATAAAAATAAAAATTAAAAAAATTAAATTAAATAAGATGAGAAAACGTAGGCCATATTTGTCTGAGGGCTAACAAATTATCCAAATTTCTTTATTTGAATCACTATAAATGCCAGGAGTGTTCAGATACAAAAGACTTTGCAGACCCATATTCATGAAGCAGAAAGGAACCATAGAGGTAAAGTAACCAACAGAACTTTAGCCACATTTTACAGTTTAGGAAATAAGGTCCAAATTATTGAAACACTTTATCTATGACCATAGAGTTGGGAATATGTAAGGCAGGACCCATCCATGGGTTTCCGTTCCCTTCTGACCCAGTGCTACATCTACTGCAAAACTCTATTTATCAGTATTTAGCAGACATTGGTCCATCCTTCTAGCTTGGTCTCCATCCCATTCCCACATGGGTGACTGTGTCCCCAGAATGAGTGGGGCTTGGAGATGGTGGGCAGGTTATTGTCTCTGAGGCATCTCACGGAAAAAAGAAGTAAGAAGGTCTGAGCTCAGAATTGAAAACTGCCCTAAATAAGCAAGATTAGAGATGAAAAGGAACTTTGAGAAAAAAAAAAAATCTAAGCCTGGGCAACATTGCAAAACCCCGTCTCTACAAAAAATACAAAAATTAACCTGGCGTGGTGGTGTGCCTGTAGTCCCAGGTACTGCGGAGGCTGAAGTGGGAGAATCGCTTTAGCCTGGGAGGCAGAAGTTGCAGTGAGTCGAGATTGCACCACTGCACTCCAGCCTAGGTGACAGAGCAAGACCCTGTCTCAAAAAAAATAAAAAAAAAAACCCGTCTATACAAATGATATTATCAATGAGTGCAAATATACAGTTACATAGAAGAAATAAAACCTAATGTTTAATAATCAGTAGAGTGACTATAGTTAATGATAATATATTATACACTTCAAAATAGCCAGAAGAGAATAATTCTAATGTTTCTGGCATAAAGAATAGATAATTATTTAAGTTGATGAATATTCCAATTACCCTGATTTGATCTTCACACCTTATATGAAAGTATCAAATTTCACATGTACCCCCAAAATATAAACATCTATTATGTATCAATAATAATAATACAAAATAAGAATCATATATAAAATCTCTATTAAAATATGTTGTTTTTTCACCAGCAGGAACTTTAGGTGTCTAACAGACCTTTCTGGGAGACAAAGCCTGGGAACTCTAATTTGGCACATTCCTACATATACTTAGCAACAACAGGTCCCCAGATCCTATTTTCAGTCTGAAGACCAAGGATTAGTATTGGAAAAATCCGCTCCTCCGTCTGTCCTTTTCTGTCATTTATGCTTGGACAACTGGGCTTTCATCTTTAGCAAATTGGAGAGAGACCCAAACACTCCCTGAGGGGAAACAAAAGCAGCTAAAGGACAAATAATGAAACTGGCTTTCACATGACAAGTCTCACATTTTACTTTTCTTTCCCCCTTCTCCATGCTTTGCTTCATTTGGGAAGAAAACTTATTTTTAAAAGCACCAAATCCCCTTTCTATCAGGGAGCATGGCAGGATTGATAGATAAGGAGAGTCATCTTAATGGGGGCACTGTCAGCAAACTCCTTCTTTTAAACAAATAAATGTGAGAAATGAGGACATTCAAGAGGCCCCTGTGTTCTATAAGGGAAAAAAAACAAAAAATTCATTTCCACAGTATTACTGGGCTGGATCTGGCCCAAATGAACTGCTGTCATTACTGGAAATTCTAGATGATTAGCGCATCAGAACTAATCCCATCCCTTTCCCCAGAATGTTCAAAAAATGATTCTTCAAGACCTCTGGGCTGCTCTCTGCATCCGTCTCATTCTTAGTCCTCCCCCATTCCTATCTGATTTCTGCTGGGCTCCAGGTGTTGCTGTCTGTTGGGACACACATCTGGTTCCCACAGATTCTCTGGGTTTAAATAAGAATCAGGCTCCTCGCATTTATCTCCATGCAGACAGTGCAATTTGTCAAACTCAAAAATGCCCAATGGTGTAAAGGATTTAGGGAAAGAGGAGGATTGAGTGAGAAGCAAGAGACAGGTGTGTCAGATGAGACTCTGAAGAAAACCAGTTTGATCAATCAACTGTAAGACTTCCCTGGTGTCCCTCTCCACCTTTAACAAAACAGCACAGGGGCTGCCTCACTCAGCTTCCACCTGCATAGAGGAGGCAGGCCCATGAATCTCATTCCAATGAAAGCAGAAGCCTGTGCCACTCAGTTCTAAAGAGGAACATTTCAATTCATGTTGCCCTGTGCTCTCGGAACATGACTGAAGAAACAGATTCCTTGCTTGGGTCTGAGTGTCCGGCCTGGTAAGACTGGGATCTTGGCTCCATCAGAGTAACCAGCATATGCTTATTACTGAATATTATTAGCCAATCTCCTATGCCTGAGATGTTCTGTTACATCTCAGTGACTTGACTTATACCATTGGTTTTCCAAGAAAGTCCATCCCCTCTTGAACTATGTGCTGCAACATGGCTTTTAAGGAAATTTCATGCTGTTTATGGTCTGTGTGGAAGAATTTAACAAAATGTTCATCAAACTTGTTTCTTCTTATACTGGGCTCACAGCTAAATTGCATTTCCAAGACTCTTGCAATTAGAAGGGGCCATTTGACATGACTCTGGACAAAGGGACATGGTACAAGGGCTCTTGACATAACTAAGCCTGGCTTATAAAAGAGCCCATGCAATCCTTCTTGTCTTTGTCTCCCCCTGCCTGCCAGTCTGATGCAAAAAATTCCAGAGGACTTCAAGATCTTGGAGAATGCTTGAGTCTCTAGAAAGAAGAAACTTGGGTTCATGAATGTGACTGTGTAGAGCAGAACTTCTCCACCGATCTACACTGGACCATGACATAAGCAAAAAAATAAATAAAATTTTATTAATTCACTGAGAACTGGGAGTTGCTTATTACAGCTCTGAGGCTACCCTGATGAATACAAACTGGTAAGAGAAATATCTATGTTAATTGTACTGCACTGTAATTAGCTTGAAGAAGGCCAAACCTTAAGTCATTTTTATATTCCTAGCTGCTAATAGGAAGCATACTATATAATTTTGGGGAGAGGGATCAGCGAAGATGAAGAACAAAGAAACAACTATAAAATATGATGATATATGTTATTACATGTCATATGGCAAAATTAGATTAGCTCTATAGCAAGAGCAAAAAAATAATCTGTGGAAACAAAAGTAGAGCAATTATTTATGACTGGGAGAATCTGGAAACTCTTCCTGGAGGAGGTACAAAAATTAGTAGGTTTCCCACCATTTAAGGACATTCAAGAAAGAGGCAACTTGGCAAGTAAAACAAAACCAACTTGAACTGTGCAGTTGTTCTAAGAATGGCAAGTAGTCAGCCAGGACAACAATTGAAAGTTCTTAAAAGAAGTGGCATGATCTTTACTCAAGTTTTAGAAAATTAACTGGCAATAATATGAAAAATGGATTTGAGAAGAAGAAGACAGGAGTCAGAGATCAGCTAAGAGGCTCTTGCAGTAATGAATGGTGAAGGTTACTCCCAGAGACCCCAGAGGACTCTGAATGGCCTTAGTGGCAGGAAATTAGATTGACAAAGACATTTGGATTAGCCAATGAATTGCCACAAAGTGCTAGATACCATAAAAAAACCGCCACACAAATTTAGATAAAACTTAAATCTTCCCAACTTCTGGTTGGGGAGATTTCTAAATTGAATCATGACTATATATTTCAATTCATGGAAGTTTTTTTATGGGAGGCCATTGTGCATTACAGCACCAAAGAACCTTTGCCTTCTTGTTATCATTAATATTAATCTCCTGTGGGTACCACATGACAGTGGAGAAGTACACAAAACCAGGTATCTAACATAGCATCAGTAATGCTGAGAATTAGCACATTAATGGAAGAATTCAACTAGATCAGAGTAATGCAACCTTATAAGACACTCTCTGGATTCAAACGTTCCAAAAGCTTCCTATTACCCTCAGCGATACATCTCAGATGGTGATTTGGTGATTCTTGGACCTCCTCCTTCCAAATCACATGAAACACAAGTTCAAAAGACTTGTTCTCACTCAAGTCTTACTCATGACCAACTGAATTGGCATCACAGAAAGTAAATCTTAGGAATTCGCATTTTAAGCAATCCTGCATGCCTCATGATCCTTAAGCACACTAAACTTTAAGAACTACTAGCCTAAAAAATAAGTTCATGCTTCTCAGCAATGGTGTTTGTAAACATCTTTGTAAACTTGCTCCAACTACCTTTGCTTTCTCATCATTCTTTCCCACTGGTCCTGTGTAATAGCATAGAGAAAGAATAACCATTTTTGAACATACTAAACTTTTCCCCAACCTCAAGACCCAAAATATATTTTTGTCTGTCTAGACAGCTTCCTAACTAGTTTGCAAAATTCCACTTATCTTAATAAATAGTAGATATTATTAATACTTTTTGAAAAACACTTAAAAATCAGGCTTTAATTGAATCTTTGCTGTGGGCATATATGGTGATGCCTTTGCAAACTCCATCTCTAAGGTGACAAAGGAATGTGATTAAGTCTGGGATGAGTTTCCCCTAGTCAAGCAGACTCAACTGTATGACAGCATTTCTGACTCTCAAAACTCTCCCTCCCCCAGGTTCATGAAATGGGTTCAATTTCATGTGTTAGGCTTTCATTACTTGTTGAATGAATGATTAGACCACAATAATTGTCTTGATCCTCCATTTCACTTTGGCTAGTTTTAACAGTTTTGATGCCCATTCAAATTATGGCCAATTTAGTTAAATGCCCAAACTGTTAAAATGTTTTGAACACTAAACAATGGGTTGATTGAATAAATTTTTCACTCTTCAACTGGGTGGTTTTGCTGCATTGAGCCTAATATAGAGTACAAGACCGGACTCCTGTCTTTTGCTGAACAGCCAGTGCAGGTGCAGTGCAGAGCTTATGGACAATTCTAAATAGGCCTAGATTATTTATACAGATGGAACCTAGCCCACCGTGCTCACAGCTCAGGCAAGCAGGTGAGACAACACCTGTCTCCATGAGTATGCCATCACACTTAGCCAGACAAATGTGAAGAGGCCAAGAGTTAAGGAATGCTGCCCTTTCTCCGAGGATGCTGTTCTGGGGCAAATTTTCTGTAGCACACAGCCTCCTATTGGCATTAAAATATTTTACACAGAATTGCTAAATAGAGAAATGTGTCTTTGCCACACTTCGTTTATTCCTCCCCCTGGCTATGGCTTTCCAGTGGCCACCAACTGCCCACCAAATTCTGCTTCACCTAATGCTAACTTATATCCAAAATTACCTTTGACTTTTACTCATCATTGAAAACACACATTCCTTCAATCACATAGATCTTAGGAGACAATCTGATTATGATATCTGTAATTGAAGGTTTTCCCACATGTGATCCTCTCTGCCCACATGGCTCTCTTCCCCTTGCAAGTATAGATCTTTCTCATCTCTCCTGTCTCAGCTTAAAAGTCAACTTCCCATACAAACTTCCCTAACCACCCCTTCTAACACATCATCCGTTTATTTCCCAAGACTCTGCCATTATTCCATTGTTTATTTGTCTGTGCATTACTTATCTCTTTCAGTATATAGGAAGCTCCATGAGAAGAGGGACTATGTCTGTGTTATTGACTGCTCTGTTCACAGCTGCTAATACAAATGTCTGACACATAGAGGCACTTAGTAAATGTGCGCTGAGTGAATGGATGATCAGCATAATCATTTCAAGAAGGACTTACATTTTTGGAAGATTGGCATCTCAACAACCCAGACCAATGAAGGGTTAATGAGAAAAGAAATGATTCCCTTTTCACTTGTTTCTTTTGCTCTTGTACCTGCTCTAAACATTTGTGTAATCTCTTTGAGTTTATGCTGTTCACTGTCACAGACATATGTAGTTAACACACAAACACACACACAGTGTCAGTTCTGTTATGTGACACTCATTTGTGTAATCTTTTTGACTTTATGCTGTTCACTGTCACAGACATATGTAGTTAACACACAAACACACACACACAGTGTCAGTTCTGTTATGTGACACTCTGAAACAAAGCTTGTAAGGCAGACAGAAGTGATGTCTCTCCAGCAGGCATTTGAACAAGCTACTGTGGATCCTTTATTTCCTTTGTCCCCCTCTCTGCTACCAACTGTCTGGGCCAGATTGATCATGGAGAGATCCAAACGGATCACGGAGCTGGCTGAAATGACTGATTTGACCCATGTGCACATCACATAAGTGGACATACAGGCAAAAGAGTAATGAATAAAAGATGCCTTACATTCTCAGTTCTCTTCCTGCTAGTGTTTATGATCATTCAACTGTGATAATACAAAATAAAATATGAATGCGCCCACTTAACACTAATATCCATAATGATAATGAATGCCTTTGTAGCCAACTTAGTGCCTGGAGAACAGAATGTTATAATCGTAATTTCTTTGTTTTTTAATTTTATGATTATTGGTCGTAGTTAGCATTAAATTGTAACTACCCAGCTTCAAGACAGCATTGAAAGGCTACAACCCTCAACAAGCATTCTTTAAGGGTAAATATATGCTGGAGTCCCATGATGAAAAACTCACTAAATAAGACAAACCTGCTTCTTCCGCCTTACTCCATACACATACACAGAGTTCAGGACACAGGCAACTAGTCATATTAAGGAAATATAAAACATGCCTAACTACAACAAATCCCAGAGCTACTGTCTTCTGCATGGCCAGAAATCACCATGCTATGAGGGGAATACATAGCCACAATTCAGACAGATGACGAGCCTATCTGAAGCAAACAGCTCAGAAAAATAGCAGGGAAAGGAGGTGGGGAGAGGCAGAAGCAGTGGCAATATTTATCTCCAGTGAACAAAATGAGCTTTTTAAAGATGGCAGTCAGAAAAAAAAAAAAAAAAAAAAAAGAGCTTCTACAACCAGCCTAAAAAAAGAGAAAATGCCAGGCCAGTCCTTGCAAAGCTCATTCCAGAATTTGCTCCAACACCCTCCAGGGGTCAGCAGGGTCTCTGGTATGGGCTGGATCAGAGGTTGTGTTCTAAAGCAGTGACTCTGGAAGTGTGATCGCCAGATTAGCAACAGCAACAGCAGCACCAGGGAACTTCTTTGAAATGCAATTTATCAGCCCCTACCCTGGACCAAGCTAGATTGCTGAATCAGAAACTAATCAGCAATCTGTTTTCATGAGGCCTCCAAGAGATTCTCTGAATGCTCATATGAGAAAAGAACTGCTCTGAGCAGGGGGTAGGTCAGGAGGCCTGCTTCTCCTAGTACACAACTCCAAGAGCCATGTAATTCCTTTAACATCTCAGCTGGCCTTTGTTACAGACCTGAAATTCCTACGCTGAAGTCCCAATCCCCATACCTCAGAATGTGATGGTATTTGAAGATAAGGCCTTTAAAGGGGTAATTAAGTTAATGTGAGCTAGTAGGGTGGGCCCTAATTCAGTATGGCTGGTGTCCTTGTAAGAAAATATCAGGACACAGGGGAGATACCAGGGGTGCACCCACACAGAGAAAAGGCCATGCTAAGACACAGCAAGAAGGTGGCCATCTGCAAGCCAAAGAGAGAAACCTCAGAAGAAGCCAACCATGCCCATAGCTTGATCTTGGACTTCCAGCCCCCAGAACAGTAAGAAAATACATTTCTGTTGTTGAAGCCACTCAGACTGTGGTATTTTATTTTTATGGTAGCCCCAGAAAACTGATATTCTCTTCATAGCCTCCCAACTCAGCAGAGATTTCATCACATGGTTTCTCACAGGTGTCTCTGAGGTTTTTCCATCACTGTGTTTAGTATACTGTGTGCTGATAACTTGAATTCAGCTTTCTCTTTCCTACGAGACTATGTGTTATTTGTCTTTGATTTCCCAATGCACCGTGCATGCCTAGCTCACAGTAAGAACTCAATTTGTACAATGAAGAATAATGATACCTTGGAGAATTACTAAGTATGGCTACATGATCTTGTGAATTCTAATTGATGCAATAGGGTTATCTGTGATGATAAAAATTTACAGCACTGCAAACTACCTTTGAGATTGAGAGGTCAATGAATCTTTGCCTGTGTTGGATCATGTTTAAAAGACCAGAAAGAAATTCAGATAATCTTTAAATCTTTATTAGTGATGTGACCTTGAACAGGTCTCTAAAACTTTTTCAGCCACAGTTTTCTCATAGGTAAAATAGGGATTAAACAGCATCTACCTCTCAGGTGAATGTAGGAAGGACTGAGCAAGATAATTTTGCCAGTACTTTAGTGCTGCTTCCTGCATATCAGTAACATTTATGGAGTATTTGTTTTTTAAAACTGTTCTTTTAGAAGAAAATAATTCACTAAAATCCAAGTTATCTCACATCATGTCTTGTCTGACAGACTATGAGTTTCACAGGGTCAGAAATTTATCTATTTCTCACCTTCCAACTTCCTCCCTGCTCCTCTCAGGAAACATCACTTCCACATTCTCCATGCCCTTTTTATTTTTCTCTCCCCTGTCCTTTGGACTATATTGTATTGTTCTCCCAATTTCCCAAGTTTTTTCCTTTTTATTTACACAAGAAAAATAACTTTTTAATTATTTACTACAATTTAGAAGAGATATTTTAATTCTAAAGTAACATAGGTAATTCCTCTGCCCAAGGCTGATTTGGTTTCCATTACTAATTGTGAGGCTAAGATAACTGTTAGCCCAATGGAAATAATTAAGATAATGTACTAGAAAACATATCAAGCTAAGAGTTAAGAGCTGGTCATATATACTTGGCTCTTTCACTAAATGATTCTATAACTGGACAATTGACGTTACCTCTTTGGGCCCCAGTTTCCTTATTTGCAAATAGCATGGTGGGTTTTTTTGTGAAAAGGAACATTTTTAAAAATTTTTAAATGTTCCTTTTTGCTGGATCATATGGTAGCTGTATTTTTAGTATTTTGGGGGTTCTTCTAGATACTAAAAATAGAGCTATCATATGATCCGGCAATCCCACTGCTAGGTATATAACCAAAAGAAAGGAAATCAGTACATTGATTTCAGTATGAAATCAGTAAAAATCTGCACTCCAATGTTTATTGCAGCACTACTCACAATAGCCAAGATTTGAAAGCAACATAAGTGTTCATAGACAGATGAATAGGTAAAGAAAATGTGGTACACATATATGATGGAGTATATTCAGCCATAAAAAGAATGATATCCTGTTATTTGCAACAACATGGATGAAACTGAAGGTCATATGTTAAGTGAAATAAGCCAGATACAGAAAGACAAACCTCACATGTTCTTGCTTATTTGTGGGAGCTAAAAATTAAAACAATTGCATTCATGAAGATAGAGAGTAGAAGGATGGTTACCAGAGGCTGGGAAGGGTTGGGGGGAGTGAAGTGTGGATGGTTAATGGATACAAAAATATAATTAGATAAAATAAGTATGATCTAGTATTTGCACAACAGGATGACTACAGTCAACAATAATTTATTGTACATTTTAAAATAACTAAAAGAATATAATTGGATTGTGAAACAAAGAAAGGATAAATGCTTGAGGTGATAGATACTCTATTTATCCTGATGTGATTATTATACACTCTATGCCTGTATCAAAATAGTTTATGTATCCCACAAACATATACCCCTACTGTGTACAAAAATTAAAAACATATATATATGTATGTGTGTGTGTGTGTGTGTGTGTGTGTGTGTGCATGTGTGTGTGTATTTTCTTAATACCTTGGAATCAAGTTAGGATCCTAAAGAGTTAATGGGTGGGGAAAAAGATGAGACTAGGAACAACAAGGTGCTTGTATGGCTCCTGATGACAGGGCCAAAAAAAGGGTGGGTGATAGAAATTGAATAGAAGAAGAACAGAAGGAAACGTAAGTGCTTTTAGAGTTACTAGATAAGGCTTCACAGGGTTACAAATTTAATCTACTTTCATATCCTAATGTATAGCTAGTGCTCACCTGTGCAGGTTAGAATCACAGAACTGGGAAATACCTTCAAGACAGTTTATTGCAATTCAGGATTCCAAACGAAAGAATAGGAAGGAAATATACTGAATCAGGAATGCTCAAGTCCCTCTATATTATCAGGGCCATTAATTCTACGTATGTCTGTGCAATCATCAACTTCACATTTATAGGCTCATACAATCATTGAGTCTTACTCATAATGATTACCACCTTTGTACTTTTCTCACTAATCAAGTGGCCAGTTCTAAAGAAACTGCCTTTTCTCTCTTTCTTTCTTTTTTTTTTTTTTAGGAATTAACATCACAAGCAGAAACTAACAACTCTTTAAGAACTCAGAATTTTGCAGCAAAAAGCTAAAAGCCTGAAGTCTTAGACAAAAAAGAATGTAAATTACAAAAATCATTATGAAGAACTTGTATATGAGCATGAAATTTCACACTTTGTCAGGCTAGTTTCAGGAATAAAGCATCCTGGCAACTACTGTTTATTCCACTGAAAAAACTAAAAAAAATTGCAATAAACCAGTGTAAATAACTTCCCTTTTTCTCTACAATTTCATGGACTCTGGAGAACTAAGATACACTGAAAGAGGTAGCAGTGAACAAAAAAAATTTCAAAAACACAACCCTGCTGTGTTTGAAATCCCTGTGATACCAAACTTATAACTATACATTCTAGTTTAGTAGAAAAGAAAACTTTAGAAAAATTAAGAGTAAACATTGCAAAATAATTCACATAAAACTAAGATCCCAAGAGGGGAACCATACAAAATTCTGTCTTATCCATATTTTTAATTGCGGGAGAAAATATATCTGTGTGCCTCCTTTTCAGGAAATAGGAGAATATATAATAATAAAATTTTGTGGCCAGCCACAGTGGCTCATGCCTGTAATCCCATCACTTTGGGAGGCTGGGGTGGGAGGATTACTTGACATCCAGAGTTCAAGACCAGTTTAGGCAACATAGCAAGACCCCATCTCTACAAAAGTAAAGATAAGAAAAATCAGCCAGGCATGGAAGTGTGCACCTGTGGTCCTAGCTACTCAGGAGGCTGAGGCAGGAGAATCCCTTGAGCCCAAGAGTTTGAGGCTGCAGTAAGCTGTGATTGCACCACTGCACTCCAGCCTGGGCAAAAGAGTAAGACTCTGATCTCTTAAAATGGAAAATTTTTTAAAAAGAAAATTTTGTATTTATTCACTTATTCCTCCATTCATTCATTCAATACATAACTAGTACCTGCTCTGTATCAGACACTGTACTAGATGTCAGAGATTTAATGGTGGACAAAATAGAAAGAAGCAAACCCTTTGGGCATTTAAAGTAAAACTGTACAATTAAAGGATCATCTACTACTGTAACAGCTAAGAAGGAGAGGCTCATGGTGCTCTGATAACTCATACTGGTTAATGTGACCTAATTAGCAGGATAGGAAGGGTGTTCTTGAGGAAGCTGTAGGCCAAAGAGAGAACAGCTTTCACCTGGATGAAGAGGGAAGAAGGGAGTTTTTGAGGAGGAGAGCATACAAAGACCTCGTGATGGAAGGGAGACAGTGAGTGCAGAGCCTGGGTAAACCATCCCCTAGTGACCACTGCCCATGGCATGAGGCCAGCCAAAGAACAAAGAAAGAGACCTAGAAGGAGTGTTTGGGTGATTTTCCAGCCCTGGCTTGGAGGCAACATTACATCATCATGGCCTGAGTGCAACTGAACAGAACCCAGTCACTGGGTCTCATCTGACTGCAAAGTAGACTGCAAAATGTACTCCAACTCTCACTGGAAACAAGAAGACTAAGGATCTGACAGGAGATAACTTACTCACTTGGATTTATTCCCTTTGGGATGGTGAAGGAGAGGGACTAGACAGTCACTAGAGAGGGATGACAGTTTAGTTGAATAACAAGGACCTCAAAGGAGTGAGATTTGTATAACAGGGTATATAAGGAGCGGTTTGAGAGTGTTAACATGAAAAGAGGAGGGTATCCTTGAAAAGTAAACTCTTACAAACACAAACTCATCTCAGAAGTTTTGAGACTGCCTATTGTCTGTGTGGAGGTAATATCATAAACCTAAAGCCTGGGTTCTCACGTGTAACATTCCTGGGTCCAAATCCCTACTTTGCCTCTTACTAATTTATTAACTATGTCACATTGGATGAGTAATTTAACCTTTATGTGACTCAGTTTTCTCATCAATAAAGTGGGATTAATTACCATTCTGCCTCTTAAAGTTGTTGGTAGACTTCAATGAGATTGGGAGTAAGTGTAATGACAGCGCCTAGCATATAGTAGATGCCTGGTAAATGTTTGCTATTATTAACTACATTACTACTGAAGATTGCTTTATATTTTGATAATAATAGACATAAATTTGTCTTACTCTAAGTAGAAATTTCTACTAATGAGAAAATCCCATTCCAAGAGTATTTTAGGTAACTGGAGTTTTTGTGTATACTTTGTGACTCAAAGTAACCCTTTTCTGATGTACCCTCCTTCAGAGAAAATAATAGTATGCTACGACAAAATGCCGTCCCTAGGATACTCTGAGAATAAGGAGGAGCTAGTCACAGAGGAGGCAAAATGGAAATGAGCCGAGAGCAGTGCAAAGCCCAGGCAATTTTATTTATACAAGAGAGACATTTACTGCTCCTGTGAAAGCATTTCCAAGTGCTGGGGCAAAATTCCATTCTCATTCCTGAGAAGCACCAATATCCTTGGGAGAATTAGTTTCTAGGAATCAGCTGGGATACAGCTTCAAAAGCCCAGGGCAACAATGTCAGAGTCAGGTTAGAGTCCTTAGCCAGGGTGTATTAGTCTGTTCTCACACTGCTAATGAAGACAGACCTGAGACTGGGTATCTTAAAAAGCAAAGAGGTTTGACTCACAGTTCAGTATGGCTGGGGAGGCCTCACCAAACTTACATTCATGGCAGAAAGGGAAGCAAACAACCTTCTTTACATGGTGGCATCAAGGGGAAGTGCCCAGCAAAAGGGGGCAAATCCCCTTATAAAACTATCAAATCTCATGAGAATTCACTTACTATCACAAGAACAGCACAGAAGTACTTGCCCCCATGATTCAATTACCTCCCACTGGTTCCCTCCTATGACATGTGGGGATTATGGGAACTACAGTTCAAGATGAGATTTGGGTGGGGACACAGCCAAACCATATCACAGCGAGAGCAACTTGAATGAAAAGGAAGTTGACCAGGAAAGTGCTGCAATGGGAACGGACCATCAGGAGGCCTGGAGCAACGGCCTAACTCACTTGGGAGAAGGAAGCTGGAAATGAAGAGTGGTGAGCAAGACCACCCTGGGAATTCCAAAAGGTAATGCCACCACACAAGAGTGCCTATTATCCCCCAAGACAACCTTTGAATTTTTAGGTGAAGCTCTGTGTGTCCAGCAACAGCTTGCTATGGTCTGAATGTTTGTGTCCTCCCAAAAATCACATGTTGAAACCTAATCCCCACTGTGAAAGCATTGGGAGGTGAGGACTTAGGGAGGTGATTAGGTCATGAGGGCCTGCCCTCATGAATGGGTCTAGTGCCCTTATAAAAGAGACCCCAGAGTATTGCCTTGCCCCTTCCACCATGTGAGAATGCAGTGAACAGATGTCTACCAACTAAGAAGCAGGCCCTCACCAGAAACTGAATCTGCTGGCTCCATGAATCTTGGACTTCTCAGTCTCCAGAACCATGAGAAACACATTTCCATTGCTTATAAGCCACACAGTTTATGGTATTTTATTATAGCAGACCAAACAGACTAAGACACAGCTAAATGGTAACCAGGGATAATCGCCATAGGTAGGTGAACTTTCATGTGCAGGTTTGTTACATAGGTATTCATGTGCTATGGTGGTTTGCTGCACCTATCAACCCGCCCTCTAGATTTTAAGCCCCGCATGTATTAGGTATTTATCCTAATGCTTTCCCTCACCTTTCCCCCCACCCCCTAGCAGGGCCCAGTGTGTGATGTTCCCCTCCTGTGTCCATGTCTTCTCATTGTCCAACTCCCACTTATGAAGTGAGAACATGCAGTGTTTGGTTTTCTGTTCCTGTGTTAGTTTTCTGAGGATGATGGTTTCCAGCTTCATCCATATCCCTGCAAAGAACATGAACTCATTCCTTTCTATGGCTGCATAGTATTCCATGGAGTATATGTGCCACATTTTCTTTATCCAGTCTATCATTGATGGGCATTTGGGTTGGTTCCAAGTCTTTGCTATTATAAATAGTGCTGCAATAAACATACGTGTGCATGTGGAAAAGAAACTTTTTTTAAAAGGGAAACACATCAGAACATCGGCACCTAAAGGAATTTTTTTCTCTTCAAAGTGGTGATTATGAATGTATTTATTCTAGAAACGTTGTCATTGCTTAAAAATTTTTTGCTTTAAAATTGGGTTGAGAGCAGTAGGCCCATTTCTTCAAAATTTCTTAAAGGTTGAAAGCTTCCTATAGTGGCAATTGGTGCTTGGAAGCAATCACAGGGCATGATGATGAATAACTTTTGTCCAAGGTGAGTAGTCAGAAGCAAGATGCACTATAATTGAAAAAGATTAATTTTTTTGGAGTTCATGAAATGATGACAAATGATAAGGAGAAAAGTTGTGTCTTAATAAGTTTAAACACATTAGACATGGAAGTATTCGGGAGGAAAATAAGGCCTCCTGGGCCCCCCTGAAACATACCATAATAATGTTGCAGGATATTGGGTCCTCCACAGCGAGAAGCAAAATCTTTCATTTTTAAATGCTTCATGCCCACCATGGTGATTGGCATATAGTAATCACTCAATAAACTTTTTTTTTTAATCAGAGACAGGGTCTCACTATGTTGCCCAGGCTTACCTCAAACTCCTGGGCTCAAGCGAACCTCCTGAATCTCATCTGAATAGCTTGGACTGCAGGCCTGCACCACCACACCCAACTTCAATAAGCTTTTGAAGAATGAGAATAAAACAGATCACTTCCATTATAATTATGCCTTCAAATATATGAAAGTAATGCAACTAGAATTTCCCATATTACTATCTCATGATGTCATTTGTTTGCCATTTCTATAATCTCCTTAATGGACTTGAATTCCCAATCTCATAATTTAGAAATTGTCATAATTTTAAAATACAAAAGTGCAAAAATAATGTAACAATCATCAATGGATTTACCACTGAGATTTAACAAATTTTACTGCCTAGACATTTTTTAGGACTCTAACACAAAAAATTATGCTTGGTATTCATTAACATTGTAGTAGGCAGAACAAGAAAAAGATATCGAACATGCACTTAGAAAATAATGTCTTTCCCCTTTCTGGTTGCCTCTGTATCTTTCTTCTTTATTTTTATCTTTTTTTTTCTATTTGTATTTTCCCCACTGACTATTCAAATTACACCTTTAAAACTTTGCTTTGACTTTGTGCCTCTACCTGGCTCTTGAAAAGAGTTTTGTAACTTGGTGTTAATGGCATATTTTGGACTATAATCTCCATTTCACCTATTTGGAGTACATTTTTCTTCCAAATTTCTTTTCCTTTCCATTTGGCCCAAGATGCAAATAATAATAATTTCCTCTAAACTCTCACCTTAGTAACTCCTTATACATTCCGTATTACTTCCAGCTCTGTCCCTCAAACTGGACCCTTTAGAATAACAACAACAAAAAGCCTCTCATTTTAAGCGAGAAGCAAGCCACTGTGGTATGTTATTTTATTATATTTAGGCACTATGTTTATCATGTTCCAATGTTCCATGCTTCTTGGCATCAAAGAACATTGCTTTATTGTGACATTTTCAAATGAAAACTACATGACAGTAACAGTTTCCAAAGAACTCTCATTTACCTTGGCAACATTTACGAGTGGCGAGGAAAAAATACATAAAACCACCGCTTTGAGCAAAACGCTACAATGATTATTTAGCAAACAAGCTCACATATTAGAACAGTAGAGGGGAAGATTGCTTCTACAGACTAAATTGCACTTTATACACAGGCACTGCTGAATGGCTTTCTACAGAGGTTACGTTTAAATTATAGCTCTTGCTAAGCAAACATCTCACCGTTTGTGTGTGAATTTGAATTATGCATCTAACAGGCAGCATGTTTATGGAAAAAAGTCAAGTCGATAGATTGCTAAACTGCTACAACATTTGCAAGGGACAAAAATAGCCATATGGGACAGCTCTTTTGTGTCGGACAATGAAGAAGCTTTGAGAGAGGTCCCACTTCCTCTCCAGTAAGAAAATGGTTTGGCAATTCGGAACTACATGAGTGATCAACCTTTGGCTTCATTCAGAGGCATCCAAAAATTGCTTTAGTGCTTTCACTTTAGAAATATAATTTGATTCCTTATGCTTAGACATTCTGAGTTTGAATAAGTACATTGTCTAGCTTACAATTATATTTTAATTCCTAGAAATAAGGCAAATACATATGAATTGTCCTAATTCAGGAAAAATACACTGGTAGGCAGTCAGAACAGCCAAGTCATGTGAAAGGACAACACTGGGGAAGAAACCTAAATAAAGAGCAGTCAACTTTTTCAGAACATTCCTAGGTCCCAAGTATAGTCTGGAGCACAACTGACTACGCTGCAGCACAATGTGTCTCATTTGCATCTGTTTGAGCACATCCTTCCTAAAGGTGAGAGGAGGAACAAAATGGCTTTCAGGTTCCCATACAACTCTAACATTGTAGGATTCAATTTCTGGTACATTACATATTTGTCTATCAATAGCCCTTGGGAATTTTATGATCGCTCATGTCTTAAAATTTACAGCATTTCGGCATGTTGCAAATACAAGTTGAGTTTCAGCTGCAATAAGCACAGGTCTCCCATGGAGGAGCAGGGTCACAGCAGAGGCCAAATGCACTCAGAGCAAACATTTCCCATAGTCTCCAACCCTTCTTTGGCAAAGAAGGTGAGGAAGAAAAAAGTGCTGGCCAACATTCTATACAAGCCAACAAAGAGCCCAGAAGAGGCCAGGTATGGTAGCTCATGCCTGTCATCCCAGCATTTTGGGAGGCTGAGGCAGGAGGGTAGCTTGAGGCCAGGAGTGAGGCAGGAGGGTCGCTTGAGGCCAGGAGTTTGAGACCAACTGAGGCAGCATAGTGAGAACCCCAACTCTAGAGAAAAAAAAAAGAAAGAAAGAAAAGAAAACTTAGCTAGGCGTAGTGGCTCACACTTGTAATCCCAGCTACCTAGGAGGCTGAGGCAAGAGGAACACTTGAGCCTAGGAGGTAAAGAATGTAATGAGCTACAATCACACCACTGCACATCCCAGCCTGGATGACAAAGTGACACCCTGTCTCTTTAAAAAAAAAAAAAAAAAAAAAAGGAATTAAAAATGAGCTCAGAAAAACATAACTGGGAAAAACCAAACTCTACATTACCTGCCCTTTGATGATGTAGAAAATCCAGCTGTGTACAACTACACCACCATATACATGTATACGAGTGCAGGGTGTTAAGTTTACAAAGTGGTCTGTATGATCCCATTTATATAACATTTTTCAAATTACAATATCATAGAGATGGAGAACTTATGAGTGGTGTTCCAAAGATCTGTGGGGGTAGGGCAAAGGAGAGGGAAGAAGGTATCTACAACTATAAAAAGATCCTTGTGGTGATGGAATTGTTCTATGTCCTGAGTGTAGTAGTGGGCACATAAATCTACATGTGTAATAAAATTGTATAGAATTTCTTGCGCAAATTGTGACCCCCAAAGAGATATGTTGATGTTCTAACCCCCAGTACCTTAGAATGTGACCTTATCTAGAAATAGCGCTGCTGCAGATGTAATTAGTTAAGAGGAAGCCAGACTGGAATAGTGTGAGCCCTAATCCAATATGACTGGTGTCTTTATAAGAAGGAGGAAATTGGGGCACACACACAAAGAAGAAAGATGACATGAAAACACACAGGGAGAAGAGGGTCATGTGATGACAGAGGCAGAGATCAGAGCTATGTTGCCACAAGCCAAGAAACACCTGGAAGCTAGAAGAGGAAAGGATGGGTCATCTTCTGGAGGCTCTGGAGAAGACATGGCCCCACCAGCACCTTGAGTTTAGACTTCTAGTCTTCAGAACTAGAGAGAATATGTGTCTATTGTTTTAAGCTACCCAGTTTGTTGTACTTCACTACAGCAACCCTGAGAAATTAAAACAGAAGTAAATACACACGTGTGCACAAATAAATGCATGCAAAACTGGCAAACTCTGAATAAGGTGAGATGTGTATCAATGTCAATTTCCTGGTTGTGATATTGTACTTTAGTTCCACAAGAATTATCACTGGAGGAAACTGGGTGAAGATACAGAGGATACCTCTGTATTATTTCTTACAACTGCATGTGAATCTACAATTATTTCAAAATAAGAATTATAAAAGAGCAGTCTACTTTCAAGTACATTAGCTCCTCAATATATCCTTGGGAAGTAGGTCAGGAAGCCTCATCCACTCCAGTTTTAAAACAAGAAAATTGGAGCACCAAGAAATTAAATTTCCAAAATTTATAAGAATACTGAAAAATTCAGTTCTTGAATCTACGACTTCCATCTTGTTTTGCTATGCTATGATTTCCATATGCATAATTCAGTAGTTTAAATTCACTCAGGATAACAAAGGCTTTCAATTGAGAAGAGGGCATTTCACAAGGTCAAAGAATCAATAATGACTGTAGAAGAAGACAAAGGAAAAAGAGGAAAACAGGTGGCCAGGTGCATTGGCTCATGCATGTAATCCCAGCACTTTGGGAGGCTGAGGTGGGTGGATCACGAGGTCAGTAGATTGAGACCATCCTGGCTAACACGGTGAAACCCCGTCTCTACTAAAAAGACAAAAAATTAGCCAGGCGTGGTGGCGGGCTCCTGTAGTCCCAGCTACTCGGGAGGCTGAGGCAGGAATGATGTGAACCTGGGAGGCGGAGCTTGCAGTGAGCTGAGATCATGCCACTGCACTCCAGCCTGGGCAACAGAGCAAGACTCCACCTCAAAAAAAAAAAAAAAAAAAAAAAGAGGGAAACAGGTGTAACCACCCTGCCTCTTTTCCCAGGGAAAGAAAAAGGACATCTGGTACTTTCTATGTGTATTCAAAAGTACAAATACTGAGGAGTAAGCTGTTCATTGGGAGGGGGCATCAAATCCCATCTGGCCAATTTCCTTTTGCAGCAAGAAATAGGGAAGAGTTGAATGCCAAGGGCATAATTCATACGAAGATCCCTTAGAAAACCACAGCCAGATTAAGACAGGAAGCAAGAAAGATATGAGAGATGAAAAGCAAAGCATCTAGAGCTTATTCACCACCAAACCCTAGAGTGTTACCCATGCTCAGATGAGCTATCACTTCTTAATTGCATTCAAAAGTGTCAGAAATAGGGAGCTATTTACTAGCCTTATTATCTGTGCTAGGCAACTATTGTCCAAATCTCTCGGGGAGTCTGGTTGGTTTATATGAAGTGTGGAAAACACAGAAAACTTCAGCAGCTGGACCATATTTATCTGGAAATAAATGACTCAAGGGATGAAGACACACCCATTTCTTGCCTGGGCCAGAAAATGGGCAGAAATGCACCAAATTATGTTTAGATTCATGTGTAGATCAGAAACAATAAGCAGAAGACAATAGTGATTCTTGTTACCCTGAATTAACATAGATCTTATTATACCCAAGAAGTGTTACAGATTTGGAAAGCCCAAATTAGACATCTCAGGGCAAAGAGATCTTAAAAAAAGGAGATGGTAAAACATTTCTCCTCAGGTGGATAAGGAACAACAAGAATAAAAGTCCTCATAAATCAGAGTTTGAGAAAACCTTTTTGAGGCCCTGGGTTTCCATAGCCATTATTCAGTCACTGTTTTTGAAGAAGGGGTTTCACTTGTTGACAATCCAGTTTTGCTGGTCAGGCTTCTAATCCAGACAGAGCAGAGAAGGTGTTTGTATTAGTCTGTTCTGACACTGATGATAAAGACATACCCAAGACTGGGTAATTTATAAAGGAAAGAGGTTTTATGGACTTACAATTCCACATGGCTGGGGAGGCCTCACAATCATGGTGGAAGGCCCTTGCTCCTTAGGAGCAAGTCACATATTACATGGTGGCAGGCAAAGAGAGAACATGTGCAGGGGAACTCCTCTTTATAAAACCATCAGATCTCATGAGACTTATTCACTATAATGAGAACAGCATGGGAAAGACCCACCCCCATGATTCAATTACCTCCCACAACATGTGAGAATTGTGGGAGCTACAGTTCAAGATGAGATTTGGGTGGGGACACAGCCAAACCATATCAGTGTTGAAATGCAGTCCACAAATACTGAGCTGGCAGAGGAAATCCAAAACAGAATCCTAGGAACATTTGTTTTCTGCCTTTTAGGAAGTCTCTTTATTTTCCTATAATTGTATCTGATGAGAGGAAATACAGAAGTAGATGGAGCAGAAGACAATCTGAATCTTTGCAGCCTTATTGTTTATTGACTCATAGGCCACCTGCCCTGAGACAAATATAATTATGGAGCAATTCTCCTATGTTCCACAGAAGAAAAAAAAAAAATAAAAGATCCAGGGGTTATATTATGTCCTGCTGTTTAAGTTTACAAAGACAGTGTAAATTCAGATAGTAATAGCTGTGGCATCAAGAAAGTAGTTGGACAATTAGAAGATGTGTTTCACGGAAAATTCAATGGTTATTTTGCCTTATTCACTAGTATTCTCAAAACTTCATAGGCAAGTGAATCACCTGGAGAGCCTGTTAAAATGCTGATTTTGATTCAGAAGGTACGGAGTAGGGCCTGAAATTTTGCATTTCTAATAAACTCCAAGAAGCTGCTGATGCTGCTGATTCTCAGTCTGTTCTTTGTGTACCAAGATTCTAGTCCCTGGTATCTGGGATACACTTCAAGTATACAGCTGCTGCTTTCAAGAGGGCTGTGCGAGTGTGTTTTCTTTCTCAGCTGCAACCCTGTGCCTCCCCAATTTTACTCTGAACGTGAAACACACAAAAGCTGGAAAAATAATATGATGAATCTGTATTCATACCAACTACAGTCAAGAACTATTAATGTTTTACCATGTCTACACCTCACACCTCTCTATCCCCTCTCTATACCCACAAACCTCCTCTCTCTTTCTCTGTCCCTCCTGCCTCTCCCCAACCTTCACCCCTCCTTTCCTCTTCTCCCCATCTCTTCCTCTCCCACTTCCTCTGACCCCCTCCCTCTCTCTGTTTCCACTTCTTTCTCTCTCTCTCTCTCTCTCTCTATATATATATATATTTTCTCCAGCCACATGAAGTTGCAGACATTATGATACTTTACTCATAAATATTCCATCATGCATCTCCTAAGAATAGCTTCAATGCAATTATTACACTTCAGAAAATAAACAATAATTCCAATTCCATAATATTGACTAATAGCCAGTCCATTTTTAAATGCCTCCAATTGCACCCAAAATGTCTTTTATAGCTATTTAAAAAGAAAAAACGATCCAGTAAGGTTCAGGCATTGCCTTGGTTATCAGATTATCATAGAACAGTCAGTACCTCAATCTTCCCTTTTTTTAAACTTTTTCATTGATTTTTTTGAAAAGTTGAAACCCATTGTCTTTCAGGATGTCTCATAGCCTGTATTTGTCTAATTGTTTTCTCATGGTGTTATTAAATTTTGCCTTTAATTAAAAATTATGTTTGGACCCTTGAACAGATTCAGGTTACACATTTTTGGCAAGTGCATCTCACAAGGGTGGAATATGCATTGCATAAGATCAAGAAGCTCACACAGTCAGAGCATCCCACTATGAGTGATGGTAGCTTTGTTTATTTGGTTACAGTAATAACCACTAGCTCTCTGTATTGTAAAAGTGCATTTTTTCCTTTGCTATACTATAGTCAGTGATTAATCTGTGTGGTGACACTTCAGCCATTTGTGAATATTCCCACTTCCAAACAACATTTTGTCTAATGGCTTTAGCATTGATTGCTGAGGCTCACCTGAATCAGTGAATCATTTATTGGGAATTGAAAAATGGCGATTTTCTAATTCTATTATAACTTCTACATTTATTAACTAACATTCCTTTGTAATTGAGTCAGAACCACCCCTCTCCCTTTCCTTACCCCATTCCATCGTAATCAACTCATGACATATTGTTCATTTCATGTATCATAATCAATTATAATCTTTATTTATGTTCATATCATCGCAAATGTACTCAGTGAGAGGTCCTTCAAGCTGACTTTTGTGTCCCTTAGACATAATCTCATTAGCGTTTGAGCACTTCCTTATTTGGTAGCACAAGAAGAAGTCCTGGGACCGTGTTTTTCTTTCCCAGCTCAGATGTGAAATCAGCCATTTCTCCAAGGAGCCCTGGTTGCTTTTAATGAAGAATGACATTTAGAACCCAAATCTAGACGTTTGGTGTGCTCAATGCTACTCAAAGGTCATTGTTCCCAGGCATGTTCAATGGCAAAGGTTGGAAATGTGGGGTTTTTTAAATACAATTTTATATTGATATTTCTAACTTGAATTCAGGTTACAGGGTTTTTTAATTTTACATTTTATTCTCCTATAAAAACCTCAATATAATTATGTATTTACTTTAGCCTACAATATAAAAATGAAAAATAGCCTCCAAGTTACAATTGTTACTGCTAACAATAAACTCCAGTGTAAAATTTAAGATTTCTTGGCAGTCCTTTTGTACTTTAAAATGTGCTCTACTAAAGGTATACAAAGGAGTGAATTCAGAAGTTACTTGAAATAATTCTTTCCCCTTTATCATTTTGATATAGATGTTTCTTCTATTTATGTTTGATTTTAGTTAAGTTTTTGAATATATAAAACACACATGGTTCAAAAGTCAAAACTGATTCTCCAGAAAGCTCAGCCAATTTTCAGCCCCTCTACCACATCCCTTCAACTCCCTATTGGTAACCATTTCATTAGTTGCTAATTTATCCTTGCTATGTTTCTTTTGGTGGAAAATGACCAAATCTATATATTTATTCATATTTCCTCTCCTTTATTACACAAAAAGCAGCATAACATATGCTTCACTCTATAACTTGGTTTTCTCCCTTAATAATAAATCTTCACCCAAGCATGGTGGCTTACACCTATAATCCCAGCACTTTGGGAAGCCAAAGGAGGACGATCACTTGAACCCGGAGTTTGAATCCAGCTTGGGCAACATAGTGAGATCCCATTTCAATTAAAAAATTTTAAAAATTAGCCAGGTGTGGTGGTGCACAACTGTAGTCCCAGCTACTCGGGAGGCTGAAGCAGAAGGATTGCTTGAGCACAAGAGTTGAAGCCTGCAGTAAGCTATGACCACACCACAGCACTCCAGCCTGGGCAACAGAGGAAGACTTCGTGTCCCAAAAATTAAAACAAAATAAAAAGAATGAAATGAAAAAATGTATGTTTATATGTATATAAAATAAATATTTTATATATATTTATATTATATATTATATAACATATATTTCACATATTATATTTATTATTTATCTTTATAAAGTAATGTATTTATAAATCATAATATATCTATTATATATTTATATTAATATATAATAGATATATTATATATAATAATTTATGTATTATATAATTTCATATAATTATACAATATATAATTATATAGTATATTTATAAATTAATATATTAATTTATATTTATATATTTATATTATATGATACATATATATATATCTCTCTCTCCTAGAAATCACTAGCCATGAGCTCATGAGATCCTCCTCATTTTCATTTTAACAGCTGCATAGCACTCTTTTGGCCATATAATAGAGTTTATTCAAACAGCCCTCTATTCATGGAGGTTTGTGTTGTTTCTAATCTTTTGCTATTACAAATAATGCTGTAGTAAATAATTTTCTGCATGTGTTCTTTATATTTTTTGGGAGTAGTCTCAGGATAGACTGGTAGACCCATGGATCAAAGAATAAATACATATGCAATGTTGTTAGATATTGCTAAATCCCCCACCACAGGAGTTGTACTTTACCTTTTGAGATTATCACCTGCCATGTAGCAGTGCCTGTTTCTCCATAGTCTTGTCAACACACTGTTTTGTAAGTGTTTGAATTGTTTAAAGTATCTTAGATGAGCAGTGGTATCTCAGCAGAATTTCTATTTGCATTACTTTTATGAACGAGGTTAAAATCTTTTCATATTTTTAAATGATATTTGCCTTGCTTTATCTGTAAAATGTCGGTTTATGTCTTTTGACTTTTTAAAAATCACAGTTTCAGTCTTTTTTTTAGTTAATATTGCTATATGGATGTCAAACAATGTAGATTTTATGACAAAAAATTACCAGAAATAATAAAGAGATATTTCTTAATGGTATGTGATCCATTTTACCTTGGAAAAATTTGACAATTCTGAATTTGCATTCATAACCTAAAAATACATAAAGTAAAAAAAATAAGTAAAGTAGACAAACCCATAATCTGAGTGAGAGATGTTAACACACCTCTCTTGTAAGTGATTAAGAAGAAAAAAGTCACTGAAAGTAGAAAAGGTTTAAATGATAGTATTGATACACATGATTTGATTGATACATACAAAGCACTGTATCCAGACCATTGTTGATACGTATTCTTACATGAAGTGGAAAAAAAAGTCCCAAAAGATTACATACAACATGATACTCTTCTCATAAAGTATACAACTACTAAAGTTAAAATATGTAATTTTAGGTTTACATATAGATGCAATAAGACTATATAAAAAGGAAAGATAGATCTGGAACTCAAGATAATGTTTACATCAACAGCAAGAGGGAGAAAGAAAAATAGCATAGGAGTCCATATGATTAAATGAAGATAATGTCACAGTTCTACATTTTGTTTTGAATAGTAGTTTTATGTGTTCTTTTCACATTAAATAAGTCATCAACAAAGAAATATGAGTTGATGGTATGTCGTGAACCAAAAACTGCAACTAATTCACTTCTGTGCATCTGAAATCTAGAGAAAACAAACAGAAAATTAAAAAATAAACTTTCAACTCACAAAAGTTAATAAAAGAACAATATCCAAAGAAAGGAGAGGAAGAAAGATTAATAAAGATAAAAATAGACATTAGCAAAATAAAATAATAACAAAATGAAAACAAGTGAAAGGATCAACGGGAAAGAAAACATATTCTTGGAAAGATCAATAACAGAGATAATCCTTTGGAGAATACGATCAAGAAAATAAGAAAGGAGGTAAATAATGTGCCAGGATATATACTAAATGTGCAATAAATTAGAATTTGACTTACAAAAATGCTATTCAAACTTTCTACTCTACCAAGCACTATACTACCATAGAAAGCAAAAAAAGAAAAAAGGTAGATATTTTTCTGAAATCAATAATTATAATTTTAGCTCCACTGGTTAATATCCATTTTTAATTGATTTCCAAACACTTTGCTTACCTTTATATGCATAGTGTTCTTTATGCCTTGGTTTTTAAATCAACTAGACTCAAATCAGCAGTAACCTGAAAGACCACATGTACAAATGGAGTCCCCATGCATTTGGTTTGCATTCAGAGGGAATGAGGGGAAGAAGTTTTGTGACTTACCTGAGGAATTCCAAGTATTCCTTGTCACGACATTTCCTTTTTCTTGTTTACAATGCAAGCAAGAAGTTAGAATCACAATTGTTTTACCTCTGCCCATTAAAACATGATATTAAAAATCATCTTAATGAATAGATATTAATATCTGACAGTGACTGCTCTGACCTCCTGTCTAACAGGCCCCATTTATGTCTTGTTTGATGAAAGTTCTCCACATCTGCAAAGCAAAAGGGCAAACTGATTTGTGAACAAGACTTATTGTCACAGCGGCAGATTTGTATAATGAGAAATATATTAAATCTAATGAAGGGAGAGCGTGCCTACCAAGGCAGCAAGTCTGTGTTGTGATTAAGTGATTCAATATCCCTCAATGGATTAATTTAGACAACGCATCAGGGTATATAGCCACTGCCAGGCCCCTTTGCTCTAATGACAAATGCTAAGCAATGCCGCATATTTGTGCATATGTATTAGGTTTTTAAGGTGTGATGATAAAGTAAGGTGCCACCCTCAGACCCCAACATTAACAAGATGAATCCCAATGATGCATATGTCCTACTGTTAGAGAACCAGGAAGATCGATCAACAATGTCATCTTTTAATATCTGCTTACAGTAAAGCATTTACTATAAAATAGACACATATTTTTACCTTTTCAACCAAGACCAGCTTACCGTATCTGACAAACACTAAATGCAATTCACATTAGTTCCCTCTCTGGTCCCTGGCAGGGCCAAAGTCAGACACAAGACAGTCAATCATGGACTCTAATTTTAAAATAGGGGAATGTTAGCTATTATTTAATTGTCTACATTTACAAACCCCATACATAAGCAATGTCATTTACAGGATTTGAAAGCAACAGTGAACCTGTCAGGGCCCAGCAGTCACCTTTCTGTATTTTGGGACAAGTCCAATTTCCAGTTGTTTCTCACCATTGTGACTGCATAAAGCAAAACCCTATAACCCTCAGAAAAAGCACAGAATGGGTTGATTTCTGCATTAAAAATAGCATGATTCTAATACACATATGTTCAACCCACATCATAGACAGGAAAATGGGCTGTATTTCAAGTCCTCAGTGTAACGTGGAAAAAATATTCAGGATTCTAAATATCTGCAGGCAATGGATTGAAAAATTCTAACATTTTTTCCCATCCCTTTATTCTCTTCTGTGAGGTTCAACTAAGAGAAAAGTATCTTGAGAGTACCAGCACCAAAATTAAGACACTAGAAGGAAATAGCCACTTACTTGGTGTCCAGCAGCCTTAATAAGGAGAAACAATTTCCATTGCCTTGGGCATTCACTCTGATGACTCAAGGACAGAGAGAAATATAAAACTCTAGCTTCCTCTCTTTATAGTAACCAGAAGAAACAAAGAAAATATGATTCTGCAAATGTGACTTCTACATGAGGCAGGTGGTGAGAAAAAAAAGTTGTCACACACCCACACAAAGGCTGAAAGTAGGGTTCAACTTCTTTGGATTCTCCTAGATGACTGGATTCCTCCAGGCCTAATGAAACCATCTGAACTGTGTGATGTGGGGGAAAAACACTCAGATCTGGAGACAAGCAAGCTGAAATACAATTCCTGTTCTGCAACCTATAATACCAGCTGTGTGACCCTGATTATGTTCTTTCTTCCTTCAGGAATTGTTATTCCTAATAATTTTATTATTTCTGAAATAGATGTACTAATGTAATTTTTAAAAACCTATTTATTAATCATTCCTCACTGAGCTAAAAGGAAGGTGGCACTTTACATTAAAGAAACCTTTTTGATGAGAAATGTGGTCAGGGAGAACATGTAAATGAGGAAATAGGAACAGGAAAGGAGATAAATTGCTCTGCATAAGCAAGTTGTAGTAGATTGAGAGGCCTTGGGGAAGACCATGTAAGGCACAAACTGAAATTGCAGTGGCTGAGTGGTAAGCCTGGTGTGGAGAGAGAAAAGAGGCTTCAGGAAGAGGCAACTGATTCCTGGGTTACACCATGAATTCCACCACATCAGGTTGTAAATAAAAGGGCCTCAGAAAGCCCTATAGAATCACTATTAGGTATTCTACATGCCCTCTGGCATGATTCTTCTTAGGCACCAGGCTGCTTACATAGAAAGGCTACTGCTCCTGAGAAGATATGACTTGATTTGAATAGAAATTTTCATTTTTTTTCCAAGTCACATTCATTTCTATTCATTTCAGGAAAAAGCAAATTTACCTCCAAATGTTTCTGAAAGCAAGCCCAAGTGCTGCAGGTTCAAAAAAAATGCTAGTAAGCATTTAGCCCAGGAACTCAGTAAGACCTTTCTCCATAATCAGACATAGCTAATAACATTTACAGCTTATATAGCACTTACCATATACCAGATACTATTCTGTGTGCTTCACGTATATTAACTCTTTTACTCTTTGCTACAAACTTGTAGATGCTAATATTATCCCCATTTTACAGGTGAAGTAACTTAAGCACGTAAAGATTAGATAATGTTTTATTTAGTCCATTTTCACACTGCTATAAAGAACTGCCCAAGACTGGGTAATTTATAAAGGAAAGAGATTTAATTGGCTCACAGTTCAGCATGGCTGGGGAGGCCTCAGGAAACTTACAATCATGGCAGAAGGCAAATGGGGAGCAAGGCACCTTCTTCACAAGGTGGCAGGAAGGAGGGTGCATGCAGAAGGAACTACCAAACACTTATAAAACCATTAGATCTTGTTAGAACTCACTCATTATCGCGAGAACAGCATGGAGGAAACCACCCCGGTGATTCAATTTCCTCCACCTGGTATCTCCCTTGATATGTGGGGATTATAGGGATGATGAGGATTACAATTCAACATGAGATTTGGGTGGGGACACAAAGCCTAACCATATCAGATAACTTGCCCAGAGACACACAACATTTGGTGGAATAAGATTCAAATCCAAGGAGTTTGGATCCTGTGTCTTTGCTCTTAAATAGCAGGCTAGACGGCCTTTCTACATCTCATATTAACATAGATGAAAAGGAAAATTGGTAAAAATACAGGTTCAAACAGATATACACATAAATAAGAATAAAATGTAGATATAGAAATACAAATAAAGACACAAATATAGATACAAATTTAGATATGGTTATTGATACAGAAATATGGACATAAATTTTAATAGGCCACTAGAGAAAAGAGTAGACACAGGTCAGCAAAAAAAAGAACTGGGGGAAAAGATTTTGGGAACATCAGAAGCTACCATGTGTTTCTTCATTCCAGAAGCTTGATTCTATATTTGGGGCTTTTTGTTTGTGTTTGCTTTCATTTTTTGTAAAAACAAACAAAAAATAAAGTTCTGCAGGATACGAAGACTAATCCATATGATTAGGTCTAGAAGTGGTGGAATTTGGAGATTACAAAGGATTAGGAAAGTTTCTGTTTCTGATCATGATGGAGTAACTATCACCAGACACTCTGCCTTTTGTAAACTAGAAAACTGGACAAAATATATAAAGCAAGAGTTTTCAGACATTGAACAACAGGCAGCACAGAATGGTGATCCCTGAGAAAAGAGAACAAATGAGGTGAGTCCTACAATTGCCCCCGCTTTCTCTCTTATGGCACTTTCTAGTCTGTTTCTCAGGGAAGAGGAATGCAGACAGAGCACAGAAGTCTTAAGAAGGTGAGAAGATGGAGATGGGAGTTCAGGGAGATTGAGGCAGCTGAAATTTGTGAGACATGGTAGTGGCAAGGAGAGAGTTATGCAAAAAATGAGACCCAGAAAATTGCCTAGGAAAACCTCATAAGACTGTTGCTAAATACTAAGCTATGCATATATAGACAGAAACTCTATGAGGCAGGGAAAAGAAGTATTATACCATTCAAGTTCCCACCAGTCAGAAAAAAAGAGATCTCATTAACATCCAGGGCATTCAGTAAAGATACTCAATCAGGCTTTAGTAGTAAGGTTAGAGTAGCCATAGAGCAAATACTACACTTCAGCCTTTAATAAACTTACAGATGAGTATTTTTAAAAAAATCAAATCATATGCAAATAACTTGCCTGCCTATCGAAACAAACTCAAGTTATTTAAAGGAAGACAAAAAAAAATCCAGATACTCAGCGACATAAAAATATCCAAAATCCAATCAAAAATTACTAAACATGCAAAAAATGCAGGAAATTTTGACCCATGGCCAGAACAAAATCATACCAATAGAAGCATCCTAGAAATAACAGTGAATGGTAAAGGAATTAACAGAAACGAACTTTAAAATAGTTATTAGAAATATAATTAAGAATAGAAAGACATGAATATAGAAGAAAATATATATTTAATTGTATATTTTAAATAGATGCAATTTATTGTACATAATTATATTTCAATAAAGTTGATTTTTTAAAAGAAAACTGCCTTTTTTCCCTTTTTATTTGTATGAATTTATGGGCTTATCTGTACAATTTTGTTACATGCCTAGATTGCATAGTAGCCAAGTCAGGGCTTTTAGGGTATTCATCACACAAATAAAATACATTGCACTGATTAACCAATTTCTCATCATCCTCCCCTGTCCCACTCCCTCACCCTTCTGAGTCTTCATTATCTATCATTCAACTCTCTAAGTCCACAAGAATACATTTATTAACACCTACTTATGAGTGAGAATATGCAGTTATTTGTCTTTTTGTGTCTAGTTTGTTTCACTTAAGATAATGATCTCCAGTTCCATCCATGTTGCTGCTGTAAAAGACATGATTTTATTCTTTCCATGGCTGAATTTTATTCTATTGTGGGTGCCATAGTCTCTTTATCCATTCATCTGGTGTTTTGTTGATTTATTATTTTTTTGGGGGGGGACAGAGTCTCACTTTGTTGCCCAGGGTGGAGTGCAGTGGCGTGATCCTGGCTCACTGCAGCCTCCGCCTCCTGGATTCATGTAATTCTCCTGCCTCAGCCTCCCAAATAGCTGGGACTACAGCCGTGTGCCACCACACCTGGCTAATTTTTGTTATTTTTTTAGTAGAGACAGGGTTTCACCATGATGGCCAGGCTGGTCTCGAACTCCTGACCTCAAGTGATCCACCCGCCTTGACCTCCCAAAGTGTTAGGATTACAGGCTTGAGCCACCACGCCCGGCTTTATTCATCTGTTGATTGACACTTAGGTTGATTCTATATCTTTACTATTGTGAATAGTGCTGCAATAAACATATGTATGAGTGAAGGTATCTTTTTGATATAATGATTACTTTACTTTTGGGTAGATAACCAGTAGTAGGATTGCTGGATCACATGGTATTTCTATTTTTAATTCTTTGAAAAATCTCCATACTGTTTTCCATAGAAGCTGTACTGATTTATAGTCTCACCAACTGTGTATGAGTTCCCTTTTCTCCACATTCTCACCAACATCTGTTATTTTTTGTCATTTCTTAATAGCCATTCTGACTAATGTAAGATGATATTTCACTGTGGCTTTGATTTGCATTTCTCTGATGATTAGTGATGAGCATTTCTTCATACATTGTTGGCCCTCTTCCTGTCTTCTGTTGAAAAATGTCTATCCGTATACTTTGCTCACTTTTTAATGGAATTATTTGGGTTTGTTGTTGTTGAGTCATGTGAGTTTCTTCCATATTCTGGATGTTAGTCCCCTGTCAGATAAATGCCTTGCAAACATTCTGTCCTATTTAACAGTTCATCTCTTCACTCTGTTGATTATCTCTCTTGCTGTGCAAAGACTTTTAGTTAAATTAAGTCCTGTTTATTTTTGTTTTTGTTGCCTGTTCTTTTGAGGTCTTAGTCATAGTTTTTTTGCCTAGTCCAATGTCCACAAAAGTCTTCCCTAGCTTTTCTTCTACTATTTTTATACTTTTGGGTCTTAAATATAAGTTTTTAATGCATATTGAGTTGATTTTTGTATATGGTGGGAGATAAGAGTCCTTTTATTCCTCTGCATATGGCAATCCAATTTTCCCAGCCCCATTTATTGAAGAGGTTATCCTTTTCCCAGTGTAAGTTCTTGTTGGTTCTGCTAAAGATCAGTTGGCTGTAAATATGTGGCTTTATTTCTGGATTCTTTAATCTGTTCCATTGATTTATATGTCTTTTTCTATCAATACCATGCGGTTTTGGTTACTATAGCCTTGTGATGTAATTTGAAGTCAGGTAACATGATGTCATCAGCTTTGTTCTTTTTGCTCAGGATTGTTTTGACTACTTGTGACTTTTTTGGTTCCATATGAATTTTACGATTGTCTTTTCTAATTCTGTGAAAGATGACTGGTATTTTGATTTAGATTGCACTGAATCTGTAGGTTGCTTTGGGCGGTAAAGTTATTTGGATGATATTAATTATTTCAATCCAAAAGCATGAGGTGGTCTTCCATTTGTGTCATCTTCAATATTTTTCTTCAGTGTTTTGTAGGTTTTTTTGTAGAAATATTTTGTCTCCTTGGTTAAATTTATTCTAGGCTTTTTTGTAGCTATAGTAAATGGATTGCCTTCTTGATTTCTTTCTTAGTAAGACTGTTATTAGCATATAGAAACAATACTAAATTTTATTTGTTGATTCTGTGTCCTGAAACTTCACTGAATTCATTTATCAATCTAAGTGAGTTTTTGATGGAGTCTTTAAGTTTCTCTAGATATAAGATCATATCATCAGCAAAGAGAAATAAGTTTACTTCCTCTTTTCCAATTTGAATGACTTTTATTGCTTTTTCTTGCCTGATTGCTCTGCCTAGGACTTCCAATATTATGTTGATTAGGAGTGATGAAAGTGGGCATTCTTATCTTGCTCCTGTTCTTAGAGAAAATGCTATCAACTTTTCCCGATTCAGTATGATATTAACTGTGGATTTGTCATAAATAACCTTTATCATTTCGAGGTATGTTCTTTCCATGCCTAGTCTGTTGAGAGTTTTTATCATGAAGGGATGTTGAATCATCAAATGCTTTTTTTTTTTTTGCGTCTATTGAGAAAATCATATGGTTTTTGTCCTTGATTCCGTTTATGCAATGTATTACATTTATTGATTTGTATATGTTGAACCATTCTTGTATCCCCAGTAAAAAATCCACTTGATAATGGTGTATTATCATTTCAATGTGCTGTTGGATTCATTTTGCTAGTTTTTTGTTGAGAATTTTTGGGTCTTTGTTCATGAGGGATATTAGTCTGTAGTTTTCTTTCTCATTGCTCTTGTGTGGCTTTAGTACAGGGTGATACTGGCCTTGTAGAATGAGTTAGGGAATTTTCCTTCTTCCTCATTTTTAGGAATAGTTTCAGGAGTATTAGTACCAGTTCTTTCTGTGTTTGGTAGAATCTGGTTGTAAATTTGTCTGGTCTTTGGATTTTCATTTGGGGGAGTTTTTTAAATTACCGATTCAATCTTGCTACTTGTTATTGATCTGTTCAGGAGTTCTATTTCTTCCTGGTTCAATCTTGGTAGGTTGTATGTTTCCAGGAATTTATCTATTTCCTCTAGGTTTTCCAGTTTGTGAGCATATAACTATTCATAATAGTCTCAGATGATCTTTTGTATTTCTGTGATATCAGTTATAATGTCTCGTTTTTCATTTCTGATTTTATTCATTTGGGTCTTGCCTCTTTTTGGTTAGTCTAGCTAGTAGTTTAGCGATTTTATTTATCTTTTCAAATAATCAACTTTTTCATTAATCTTTCATATTTTTTGTTTGTTTTTATGTTATTTAGTTCTGCTCCAATCTTTGTTATTTCTTTCCTTTTGATAATTTAGGGTTTGGTTTGTTCTTGCTTTTTTAGTTTCTTGAGGTGCATCATCAGATTGTTAATTAGCAGACCTAGCTAATCTGTCAGACCCAGCACACACGTAACCTGCAACTCAGCCCTGAGCCATAGGAGCTTCTGCCCAGCTCCGGACCAAGCCTCTGCAATTATCACATCCTGCTCAAGTCCTAGGGGTGGCACCCACTTCCCAGCACCAGCATTTGTGGCTGCAGTCCATGACACATTCACTTCTCTTTCCTGGCAGTAGGAGCCCACCTGCTGCTTATGCCCCAGTTCTGCAAACAACAGCTCAGGTTTTTTTTAATGTGTACGACCAACCTTATTGGATTCCAGAACACTTTAGATGCTATTAAAAGCTAAGATCAAAATGGCATTTTGTTGTAACCAGTTAGGTTTCAGAAAGGGCATGTGTGAGACCCAGGGCAAGCTCCTCCCTGGAGCAGTGTTTTCTCACAATCTCCCAGTAGCTCCCCAAGTTAGATTTAGAGCTTGGAAGGGTTAAGGTACTCTCCTATGGCCTAGATTGGACAATTCCCCAGAGGTAAAGTAGACTGTAGAGACTCTCACTTCATACTCTCCCCATATTGGAGAGTCACTCCAAGCTCCTGGACAGTCCCAGTCAAGCAGGCTGCTTCTTTTCCTTCTCCTTCCTAGTTTTTGGTGTTTTCTATTGAACTCTCATGTTCTCTCTTGGATAATATACTCAAAGTGTTATGCCTGCACAGGATTTTGAGTCTTCTAAGTGGATGAGGAGAGCATGAAATGCTTCTAATCTTCCTTTGTATTCTCCATTTTTTTTTTAATTGAGATGGAGTCTCGCTCTGTCACCCAGCCTGGAGTACAATGGTGTGATCTTGGCTCACTGCAACCACCACCTCCTGGGTTCAAGCAATTCTCCTGCCTCAGCCTCCTGAGTAGCTGGGATTACAGCATGTGCCACCATGCCTGGCTAATTTTTGTATTTTTAGTACAGACAGTGTTTCACCATGCTGGTCAGGCTGGTCTCGAACTCCTGACTTTGTGATCTGCCTGTCTTGGCCACCCAACATTCATTGTATTTTTACTATTGCCAGGCTCTGTGCTAAGCGCTAGGGAAACAAACAAACAAAAAATCAACTAAATGCAATGTGGTACCCTCAACTGTATTCTACCACAACAGACTGTATCCAGCCTATGCACCACTCTGCTCACAGATTCAAGAATCCTTGCACTGTCTATAGTCTAGAAGTCACAAAACTCAAACTTCTAAAGCTGAAAAGTACAATGTCTGAATTTAAAAAAAAAAATTTAATGAGATATACAAGTTAGACACTGCAGATGAAATAACCAGTAAATCTAAGACCACAGCAATAAATACTAAAACTGACAAGTGTATTAGTCCATTTTCACACTGCTATAAAGAATACCTGAGACTGGGTAATTTATAAAGAAGAGATTTAATTTACTCACAGTTCCACATGGCTAGGAAGGCCTCAGGAAACTTAAAATCACGGCAGAAGGTAAAGGGGAAGCCAGGCACGTCTTACATGGCAGCAGGAGGAGGAGGGGTGGGACTGCCAAATACTTTTAAACCATCACTACCAAAAGAACAGCATGAGGGAAACCGCCCCAATGATCCAATCACCTCCCACCAGACATGAGGATTACAATTTAAGATGAGATTTAAGTGGGGACACAGTGCCAAACTATCAGCAAGAGAAAAATCAACAACAATAATAAAAACAGAGCCTCTGTGATTTACAGGACAATATTAAGTCTAATATACATGTAAATATCTCCCAGAAGGAGAGAAGGTATAGGGAGAATGGGGAAAAAAATTAAAGGTCTAAACATTTTCCAAAGTTGAGAAAAGCTACATTTGATGAAAAATTTTCAAGAAGTTCAACCTTGAACAAGATAAACATAAAGAAACATATAGAAGTACATAACCCATACTTAGTGGCTAAAACCAGTAATAAAAAGGAAAATCCTAAAATCAGAGTGAAAAAAACATTACATAAAGGGGAACTACAATAAGAATTATATACTGAGTTTCTGTTAGGAAAAAGGTAAGACAAAAGAAAATGGAATTATATCTTTAAAGTGTTGAAAAAACAAAAACAAACAAAATGATCAATTTAGTATATCCAATAAAAATATATTTCAAGAAAAAGATAAATATTTTTCAAACAACCAAAAGCTAAGAAGTGTGGCCATCTACAGACCTGCACTATAAGAAATGTGAAAGTCTTCTGGTTAAGGAAAATGGTACCAAATGGAAACTTGAATCTACACAAAGGAATGAATAACATTGAAAATGGTAAATGTGAGGGTAAATTTAAAAATTACTTTTTCACTTTAAAAATATTTTTACAATATAATTAAAAAGCAAAAATTACAATATTATGTTGTGGAGTTTACAATGTATGTAGAAGAAAACTGCATGGCAAGAATAACGCAAAAGCCATACAATGGAAATTCCATTCAGATTCTGCACAGTGGAACACTAAAAATAAAAAAGAATAACTATTGCTAGGTGCAACAACATGGAGAACTTCAAAAGCATTACGCTGAGCAAAAAAGCCAACACAAAACAGTATATACTGTATGAAATTCTAAAATATGCTAAAGCAAATCAGAGGTTGCCTAGGGTCAAGACTGCATCATGGGGATTAGCTGCAAAGTGGCCCTAGGTAATATTTTGGAGGTAATGGAGATGTTCTGAATTGATTTGAGTTCCATGGACATATACATTTGCCAAAATTCGCTGAACTGTATACTTAAAATCGGTTCATTTTATTATAAGTAAATTATAAGTAAATTTGAATTCTTTAAAGGTCCCATAAGATCCTTAACCCCCACCCCATTTTTCAGCAGGGAAAGCTAAAGACCGGAGAGATTAAATGGCTTAACCATTGTCACATTGCCCTTCAAATAAAGCTGAGAATTATGCTTAAAAGCTGAATATAGAACACAGTGCTTTTTACAACTGTACATGGAATAGTATAAAAAAGACAAAACAGACCAGTTATCCAAAAAAATAAATTTATTCGCAAGAAGAAATAAAGATACTGAAAAAGCCTTGGGTTTTATTCTTTGGGGTGGGAGAAAAGACTTTTTTTGGTGTAGGGATGGAGATGTTGTTAGGTCAATTTGTTACAAATTATCATCAGCAATTAATTCCACCATGTTGCCTCTTTCTCCCTGACTCCCAAAAGAACCCTATTTAAAGTGTTCTTCCTCCACAGAAAGGGTTCTTGCACTCCATGTTCAGAATCATTTATGACAAAATTCATGTCAAAACAAGACTTTTCACATGCTAAAATGTTTATGAGTACAGTATAATCATTTCTTCAAATTACTTTCAAATAATTCAGCAAAAACAAATAATATACAGTCTTATACACATATGTATAAATACATACACACGTAGAAAGGAAACAAAAATACTAAAATAACAATCCATAGATTTGAACATTTTTAAAATAAAAGTTTGGATGTGGCTGGGGTCAGGGTGGGAAGAGAACAACAAGCAGAAAGAAAAGTCTGCATTAGAGAAGAGACCTAAACTCATTGCAAAAGGAGGAGGAGGATAAGATGAAGGAGAGAAGGAGAGGGAAAGGTAGAGAGAGAAGGAGGAGAAGAATAGGAAGATAACAGAGAAGGAAGAAGGAAGGCACACTTTCTGCTGAACTGAAAAACCCACATTCTTCTTAGAAGCATTTACATTGTGCACACAATGCTTCCTATAAATTGTGGCCACAGATACCGTGTGATTAGATAAAATCACCTATTTTCCTAGAGGAGATTTGCCTGTCAAAGCCTAAATTGCAGAATCATGGAGGCCCATGCCTGTGCTCTTACTGGAGGCATCTAAAGAAATGCTTTGGCATTTTGTCAAGTAGATTTAGAAAATGCTTGGTTCCTGGACTTAGACTGTTCCCTTTTAAGTTCTGTTTAATGCTGGTGAGCCCCCAGTGCTGTGAGAACCAAGCCCTTAGCCCTCACCATTGATGCCTGTCAGCTGAGCTCCCCAAGAAGGGCCAGCACCTTTAAGAATCACCCTCCTGTCTTTCCAACCCCTTTTCCATCCCCAAATCTCTGCTCGGATCCCAGCCCAACTCCCTTCCTAGGAAACAATATAAAAATGAAAGAAAATTCCCCTTAAACAATAGGGCTGTCCAGAGAGAATCTGGAAAATGAAGGCCAGAGAAGCCAAACATTGATAAACTTAATTAAATTTCTAATAAAAACAGAGGCAGCCTGTAGTGATTGCTCTCTGTAACTGAGACTAATATTCCAATTAGGCTAATTCATCCCCTGATGCTCTAAACAGAGTTATAGGCTTAATCCATATTTCTTCCCTCTTGTCAACAATAGATTTCCATCACTTTGGAAGCTCTGGCTTCAGTATTAAAAGCAGCGGCTCTTGATCTCCTCTGAGTGATTTGTGCGTGGCTGAGATCAGCCTGGTGCCTTCAGGACGACATGGTTGGTTTTCTTTCCCCTCCCTTCTCTGAGATACCAGAAATTTTCTGCATCTTTCAAAAGCCCCATTTCAGATACCCTTAATTTTGTCCTTCCTCTCACTGTCAAGTTAATTCTGCTTTAAAATTTGAAAATAAAATACATGCATCAGAAAAAGGTTTTCATTTTTTCTACTGCACTAAAAGGAAGAAAAACAGCTACAGAATCATGGCTGGCAGAGTGCAGTAGCTCACACCGGTAATTCCAGTGCTTTGGGAGGCTGAGGTGGGAGGATCACCTGAAGCCAAGAGTTGAAAACCATCCATGGTAACATAGTGAGACCCCTGTCTCTAAAAATTTTTTTTTTCATGGCCAGGTGCAGTGGCTCATGCCTGTAATTCTAAAACTTTGGGAGGTCAAAGTGGGCAGATCACTTGAGCTCAGGAGTTTGAGACCAGCCTGGCCAACACGGCAAAACCCTGCCTCTACTAAAAATACAAAAATTATCCAGGCATGGTGGCATGCACCTGCAGTCTCAGCTACTCAGGAGGCTGTGGCATAAGAGAATCACTTGAACCTGGGAGGCCAAGGTTGCAGTGAGCCAAAATCATGCCACTGCACTCCAGCCTGGGCAATGGAGTGAGACTCTGTCTCAAAAAAAAAAAACAAAAAAAACCCCAAAAATTCTAAATATTAACCGGGCATGGTGGTGTGCATCTGTAGTCCCAGCTACTCTGGAGGCTGAAGCAAGAGGATTGCTTGAGCCCAGGAGTTTGAGGATACAGTGAGCTATGATAGTACCTCTTGCATTTACTCCATCCTAGGTGACAGAACAAGACCCTGTCTCTTTAAGAAAAAATAAATAAGTAACATAATAGAGTTAGCCTGTGCAACAGTAAGCACCAGTATCTCCAGGGTGTGTACGAGACACAGGTTACCCCACTGAGAGCCATCAGACAGGATATGACACAGAGAACCGAGGCGAGAGAGGTAGGCATGGTACCAGGCTGGCCCCAGCTTGTATCCCAGCTCTTCCACTTACTACCTGGAAAAATGAGGCCATGTTTCTGAGCCCATGTTTCTTCATGTGGAAAATGAGAATAATGACAATTGTCTCAGGTTCTGTTATATGGGTTGAGACGAAACAGCTGCTTTTTGTTGCTTATCATTCAATGTCTAAGACAGTGAAAAATACCTTACATATGTTATTTTATTGAATCCTCTCAAAATCGCTTGGAGAAGGCGAAATCATAGCTTATAGAAGGAAATGACTTGCCCAAGTTCACAGTCAGAGAGCCAACATGCAAACGCCAGAGTCCCAGGTTGACTTCTCTCTTGACCAATACCTTACTGATATGTCCACTTACAGGAAAGACTGAAACCACAAATTATTTTAAAAAGCAGTTTCATTATCTTCGATTAAATACATTTACTTGAAGTAATCATTCAATTAAAAAAAAAGGTGTCAAACAGGAATCTTCCTCAAAAATGCTTTAATGATCCCATAACAGTCATTTGTAATGAGCACATTGTTTATATGTCGATGGTATTACAAAGTGCTTGAAAATAGTTTGTTTTCTTAATTAGATTAAACAGGTTTCCTACAATCTTCCTTACTTTATTGATTTACTTAATGAACCTTTTTTTCATAGATAGTGCAAATGTAAATTTCAGCTTGGCCTATGAACAAATTATCTTAAATTCTGAATTCAGTGAGGCCTTAATTAATGAGGCTTTACTCTATGTCACTGGAGAAGCACAAAGATTTATGACATTCAAATCGTCATAATGAGAACAATTCTCCACATGTGGCTACGGAAGACAGCTTTACTCAGGTCACTGAAGATGGAATTGCTTTCCTCCTTCTTCCACTCAGGTTACCTGAGGTGGCAGCAGCATTGTCACAGAAGAGCTCAACTAGAAGCAAGATGGAGAAGGTGGAAAATGAGGGAAACCAGCACTAAGAAAGGCCCTGTGAGGCTGAGCACAGTGGCTCATGCCTATAATCCCAGCACTTTGGGAGGCCAAGGCAGGTGGATCACTAGAGATCAGGAGTTCAAGACCAGCCTGGCCAACATGGTGAAACCCTGTCCCTACTAAAAATACAAAAATTGCTGTGGGTATGGTGGTGCACACCTGTAATCCCAGTTACTCAGGAGGCTGAGGCAGGAGAATTGCTTGAACCTTTGAGGCAGAGGTTGCAGTGAGCCAAGATTGTGACACTGCACTCCAGCCTGGACAATAGAGTGAGACTCTGTCTGAAAAAGGAAGAAAGACAGAAAGAAAGGCCCTGTGAGAAGAAAGGGTTAAAGGCAGAGCAAGCACCAAGAGATAAACCTGACAAGTGCTTCCTCTGGGTCAAGGGTGACAGAAAGAGGAACAGAGCCTGATGATCATGTCACGGGCACAGAATACGTATGGGTCTGCAGCAACCCACAAGGAGTTGGGTTCTTTCTGAGGAGTTCTTGTCTCCTCAGAAGGAAGAATTCAACCAAGTGGCATAAGGCAGAAGGAGAGACTGAGGCAAGTTCTAGAGCAGGAGTGAAAGTTTATTAAGAAGCTTTAGAACAAAGCCTCCAAGAAATATGGGACTATGTGAAAAGAACAAATCTACATCTAAATGGTGTACCTGAAAGCGACGGGGAGAATGGAACCAAGCAGGAAAACACTCTGCAGGATATTATCCAGGAGAACTTCCCCAATCTAGCAAGGCAGGCAAGAACATTCAAATTCAGGAAATACAGAGAACGCCACAAAGATACTCCTTGAGAAGAGCAACTCCAAGACACATAATTGTCAGATTCGCCAAAGTTGAAATGAAGGAAAAAATGTTAAGGACAGCCAGAGAGAAAGGTTGGGTTACCCACAAAGGGAAGCCCATCAGACTAACAGCTGATCTCTCGGCAGAAACTCTACAAGCCAGAAGAGAGTGGGGGCCAATATTCAACGTTCTTAAAGAAAAGAATTTTCAACTCAGAATTTCATATCCAGCCAAACTAAGCTTCATAAGTTAAAGAGAAATAAAATACTTTACAGAGAAGCAAATGCTGAGAGATTTTGTCACCACCAGGCCTGCCCTAAAAGAGCTCCTGAAGGAAGCACTAAACATGGAAGGAACAACCAGTACCAGCCACTGCAAAAACATGCCAAATTGTAAAGACCATCAAGGCTAGGAAGAAACTGCATCAACTAACGAGCAAAATAACCAGCTAACATCATAATGATAGGATCAAATTCACACATAACAATACCAACCTTAAAGGTAAATAGGCTAAATGCTCCAATTAAAAGACACAGACTGGCAAACTGGATAGAGTCAAGACCCATCTGTGTGCTGTATTCAGGAAACCCATCTCACGTGCAGAGACACACATAGGTTCAAAATAAAGGGATGGAGGAAGATCTACCAAGCAAATGGAAAACAAAAAGAGGCAGGGGTTGCAATCCTAGTCTTGGATAAAACAGACTTTAAACCAACAAAGATCAAAAGAGACAAAGAAGGCCATTACATAATGGTAAAGGGATCGATTTAACAAGAAGAGCTAACTATCCTAAATATATATGCACCTCATACAGGAGCACCCAGATTCATAAAGCAAGTCCTGAGTGACCTACAAAGAGACTTAGACTCCCACACAATAATAACGGGAGACTTTAACACCCCATTGTCAATATTAGACAGATCAACGAGACAGATAGTTAGCAAGGATATCCAGGAATTGAACTCAGCTCTGCACCAAGTGGACCTAATAGACATCTGCAGAACTCTCAACCCCAAATCAACAGAATATACATTCTTTTCAGCACCACACCACACCTATTCCAAAACTGACCACATAGTTGGAAGTAAAGCACTCCTCAGCAAATGTAAAAGAAAAGAAATTACAACAAACTGTCTCTCAGACCACAATACAATCAAACTAGAACTCAGGAGTAAGAAACTCACTCAAAACCGCTCAACTACATGGAAAATGAACAACCTGCTCCTGAATGACTACTGGGTACATAACGAAATGAAGGCAGAAATAAAGGTGTTCTTTGAAACCAACAAGAACAAAGACACAACATACCAGAATCTCTGGGACACATTCAAAGCAGTGTGTAGAGGGAAATTTATAGCACTAAATGCCCACAAGAGAAAGCAGGAAAGATCTAAAATTGACACCCTAACATCACAATTAAAAGAACTAGAGAAGCAAGAGCAAACACATTCAAAAGCTAGCAGAAGGCAAGAAATAACTAAGATCAGAGCACAACTGAAGGAAATAGAGACACAAAAAACCCTTCAAAAAATCAATGAATCCAGGAGCTGGTTTTTTGAAAAGATCAACAAAATTGATAGACCGCTAGCAAGACTAATAAAGAAGAAAAGGGAGAAGAATCAAATAGACGCAATAAAAAATGACAAAGGGGATATCACCACTAATCCCACAGAAATACAAACTACCATCAGAGAATACCATAAACACCTCTACGCAAATAAACTAGAAAATCTAGAAGAAATGGATAAATTCCTCAACACATACGCCCTCCCAAGACTAAACCAGGAAGAAGTTGAATCTCTGAATAGACCAATAACAGGCTCTGAAATTGAGGCAATAATTAATAGCTTACCAACCAAAAAAAGTCCAGGACCAGATCGATTCATGGCTGAATTCTACCAGAGGTACAAGGAGGAACTGGTACCATTCCTTCTGAAACTATTCCAATCAATACAAAATGAGGGAATCCTCCCTAACTCATTTTATGAGGCCAGCATCATCCTGATACCAAAGCTGGGCAGAGACACAACCAAAAAAGAAAATTTTAGATCAATATCCTTGATGAACATCGATGCAAAAATCCTCAATAAAATACTGGCAAACCGAATCCAGCAACACATCAAAAAGCTTATCCACCATGATCAAGTGGGCTTCATCCCTGGGATGCAAGGCTGGTTCAATATACGAAAATCAATAAATGTAATCCAGCATATAAACAGAACCAAAGACAAAACCACATGATTATCTCAATAGATGCAGAAAAGACCTTTAACAAAATTCAACAACCCTTCATGCTAAAAACTCTCAATAAATTAGGTATTGATGGGACGTATCTCAAAATAATAAGAGCTATCTATACAAGTCCACAGCCAATATCATACTGAATGGACAAAAACTGGAAGCATTCCCTTTGAAAACTGGCACAAGACAGGGATGCCCTCTCTCACCACTCCTATTCAACACAGTGTTGGAAGTTCTGGCCAGGGCAATCAGGCAGGAGGAGGAAATAAAGGGCATTCAATTAGGAAAAGAGGAAGTCAGAGTGTCCCTTTTTGCAGATGACATGATTGTATATCTAGAAAACCCCATCATCTCAGCCCAAAATCTCCTTAAGCTGATAAGCAACTTCAGCAAAGTCTCAGGATACAAAATCAATGTACAAAAATCACAAGCATTCTTATACACCAATAACAGACAAACAGAGAGCCAAATCATGAATGAACTCCCATTCACAATTGCTTCAAAGAGAATAAAATATCTAGGAATCCAACTTACAAGGGATGTGAAGGACCTCTTCAAGGAGAACTACAAACCACTGCTCAATGAAATAAAAGAGGATACAAACAAATGGAAGAACATTCCATGCTCATGGGTAGGAAGAATCAATATCATGAAAATGGCCATGCTGCCCAAGGTAATTTATAGATTCAATGCCATACCCATCAAGCTACCAATGACTTTCTTCACAGAATTGGAAAAAACTACTTTCAAGTTCATATGGAACCAAAAAAGAGCCCGCATTGCCAAGTCAATCCTAAGCCAAAAGAACAAAGCTGGAGGCATCACACTACCTGACTTCAAACTATACTACAAGGCTACAGTAACCAAAACAGCATGGTACTGGTACCAAAGCAGAGATATAGACCAATGGAACAGAACAGAGCCCTCCAAAATAATGCCGCATATCTACAACTATCTGATCTTTGAAAAACCTGACAAAAATATGCAATGGGGAAAGGATTCCCTATTTAATAAATGGTGCTGGGAAAACTGGCTAGCCATATGTAGAAAGCTGAAACTGGATCCCTTCCTTACACCTTATACAAAAATTAATTCAAGATGGATTAAAGACTTACATGTTAGACCTAAAACCATAAAAACCCTAGAAGAAAACCTAGGCAATACCATTCAGGATATAGGCATGGGCAAGGACTTCATGTCTAACACACCAAAAGCAATGGCAACAAAAGCCAAAATTGACAAATGGGATCTAATTAAACTAAAGAGCTTCTGCACAGCAAAAGAAACCATCATTAGAGTGAACAGGCAACCTACAGAATGGGAGAAAATTTTTGCAATCTACTCATCTGACAAAGGGCTAATATCCAGAATCTACAATGAACTCAAACAAATTTACAAGAAAAAAACAAACAATCTCATCAAAAAGTGGGCAAAGGATATGAACAGATACTTCTCAAAAGAAGACATTTATGCAGCCAAAAGACACATGAAAAAATGTTCATCATCACTGGCCATCAGAGAAATGCAAATCAAAACCACAATGAGATAACATCTCACACTAGTTAGAATGGCGATCATTAAAAAGTCAGGAAACAACAGGTGCTGGAGAGGATGTGGAGAAATAGGAACACTTTTACACTGTTGGTGGGACTGTAAACTAGTTCAACCATTGTGGAAGTTGGTGTGGCGATTCCTCAGGGATCTAGAACTAGAAATACCATTTGACCCAGCCATTCCATTACTGGGTATATACCCCAAGGATTGTAAATCGTGCTGCTATAAAGACACATGCACACGTATGTTTATTACGGCACTATTCACAATAGCAAAGACTTGGAACCAACTCAAATGTCCAACAATGATAGATTGGATTAAGAAAATGTGGCACATATACACCATGGAATACTATGCAGCCATAAAAAATGATGAGTTCATGTCCTTTGTAGGGACATGGATGAAGCTGGAAACCATCATTCTCAGCAAACTATCGCAAGGACAAAAACCAAACACTGCATGTTCTCACTCATAGGTGGGAATTGAACAATGAGAACACATGGACACAGGAAGGGGAACATCACACACCGGGGACTGTTGTGGGGTGGGGAGCGGGGGGAGGGATAGAATTGGGAGATATACCTAATGCTAAATGACGAGTTAATGGGTGCAGCACACCAACATGGGACATGTATACATATGTAACAAACCTGCACATTGTGCACATGTGCCCTAAAACTTAAAGTAAAATAATAATAATAAAATAAAATAAAAATAATAATGATAATAATAATAAAAGAAGATTTAGAGCAGGAATGAAAGGAAGGAAAGTACACTTGGAAGTGGGCCGAGCAGACAGCTTGAGTGATCCAGTGCACAGTTTGACCTTTTCACTTGTGGTTTTATATGCTGGCATGCTTCTGGGGTCTTGTGTTACTTCTCCTCTGATTCTTCCCTTGGGGCGGTCTGTCCTGCATGCACAGTGGCCTACCAGTGATTGGGAGAGGAGCATGTGCAGTGTGTTTACTAGAGTTGTACTCATGCTCACTTGAAGCCTTTTTCCCTTACAAGTCCAGTGTTTCTGTAAGGTAATATACCAGTTAAACTTCACCATTTTGCCTTTTAATGCACATGTGTGAGCCCTCTAGCTCAGGAGATCTTATTGGGAAGTTGATCACCAGTTTCAGGTTTTTCTACATACTGAGAGACTGCCTTTCCCTGGTGCCAGTTGTGACCAATTTTTTTAGAGCAACAGCTTAACAACTACCTGACCATCACCTGATGGTCACCTGACATTCCTGGTGTGGGGAGGGGGAACCCTCTCCTGCTTATGCCTGCGTGACTACCTACTATAACAATCAGGCCAGGCGCAGTAGCTGACCCCTGTAATCCCAGCACTTTGGGAGGCCGAGGCTGATGGATTGCCTGAGCTCAGGGGTTCAAGATCAGCCTGGCCAACATGGTGAAACCTCATCTCTACTAAAAATACAAAAATTAGCCTCAGCTGGGCATGGTAGTGCACACCTGTAGTCCCAGCTACTCAGGAGGCTGAGGCAGGAAAATCACTTGAACCCAAGAAGTGGAGGCTGCAGTGAGCCGAGACAGTGCCACTGCACTCCAGCCTGGGCAACAGAACAAGACTCCGTCTCAAAAAAACAAAAACAATCAGTGGTTCTGGCCACAGTGTTAAGCCCTAAATTGAAAGCAAAAGTATGTCAGGTTGGATCAGCAGGCTGGTCAGGAGCCAGGTAGCAAGGCCCACAAACAGTTGTCTCTCTATATGTGGAAAACACTGCAATCCACACATAATAAATAATGGGGCTTCCCCATGTGTCATCAAGTATAAGGGTATTGTAGTTGGGGGTAGCTGAAGTTGTCTCAGTAAGGCCACAGGGAAGCTGTGGGAGTATGAAGATAGCAGTGCCTTCTGAGCTTGCTGGAAGGCCCCAGTTACAGCAGCTCCCCAAAGCAGCTGGCCTAGGACTTCTGGGGCTAATTAGCCCCACCCTGGCCGGGACCACCTTTTGAGGAAGCCTAGAGGCATCTGGAGCAGATCCAACTGCTCTAGAAAGCCAAGACCTCAGCCACCTATTTCTTACCTTTGGAACACTGCCCAAGCTCATTGTCCAAGACCATTGGCCTAGGGGGATCATTTTCCCACTGGCAGGGAAAGGATAAAAGTCCAATTACTCAGAGAAAGCCAAAGCTATGTAAAAGGATAGACTATTCAACCATTTACTGAGTAGTTTTCTTGTGCCTGGTAATGTGCTAAACATTTTACAAGCATTATTTAATCTTCTCAACCACAAAAATGTGTAAGTACTACTAAACTATCTTAGATTTGAGGAAGCTAAATCTTAGCAATGTCAAATAACTTACCCAAAGCAATGCTGCCAGTAAGTGGCACAGCCAGATTGGGTCTCATTTGGAAGCTGACACTTGAGCCCAGGCAGTGGGCTATAGAAACACACAATAACGTGCTACTGAGAAGAGATAAGGATCTGTAAATCAAAGATCCTCAACCACAGATAAGGAGCAGACACAGCCAGCCTTTAGAAATCCCGAGCATGGGGGAAGGCTTATGTCATCCACAGGCAACTGTGATCAGGAATCATAAATGGTGAGTCATTGGTATAACCCAAAGTCAAAAGTTTGATCCAATCTGACAAAGGGTTTTTTGTCTCAAGACAGGAACTTATGTCTAAATGGAGAGAGACCTAGTCTCTGTAGTGGGGCAGGGAAGTGATACCTGTATTCATCTCATCCTTCTGCTTCTAATTAAAGATTATTGGAAATGGGAATACAAGAAATCCCAACAGGTAGCACCAGAAAGCTTCTTTCTAGATACAGAAAGTGAGCTGCCATCCCTCTTTCCGCACCATCATTACCTACATAAACATCACCATCCCTTGGTGTAATAAAATGCTTTCTAAAAGGTAGTATAGAGTAGTGTTAGAGAACGTGAGCTCTAGTGTCACTCAGACCAAGGCTCACATTCTCGTTCTGCCAGTAGCCATTAGCCAGGTAATACTGGGCAAGCAACTTAACCTCTTCAAGCTCTGTTTCCCCACCTAGAAAATGATGATACTAAAAATACTACTTGACTTCATAAAGTTGTCATCAGGATTAAAATAAATCATATACACAAAATGCTTAGCCAGGAGCCTGGCACACAGTGCTCATAAATGCTGGCTATTACAATTATTTATGCTTTTAAAAACTCTTTCACATTCACAGCTTCATCTGCATTGGGAACATCTAGTAGCAGGCTTAGCATGCAAATAGAAGAGCATGTATAAGACCATATCAAAATCATCTTGGTGCTTGTCTCTCCCTGTTCCATTCCTCCCATAACTGGTATTTCCAAACAGAGATGGCGGGCAAGGAAATAGCATGTCAGTAACCATTTAATGTTTCCCCTCCCCAGGTGGAAAAGGACATCATTCACTGAACTGTAAAAATGTTCAAGAACTGAGTACAATAACCTTGCTTTCTCAGTTGTCCCTGGGCGTAGATGCTGAGTAAACGCAAGGGAGAAACCCAGGCTGGCCTTCAAGAATCCTGAGTCCTTACCTTCTCAGTACTTACAACTTAGCAGGATTTAGAACAGGTCCCTTACGCACGTCAGTTGACACTTACAAATAACTGACTTATGTTGTAGCTATTTTAAGGTAAGCATTCATTGTCTCTCTGACATACTGTAAACTCCTTGAGGACAAAAATTTTGACACATACCCTCTTTACTTTCCCTAGAGCATCTAGAATAGTGTTGCATGCATGAAAAGTGCCCAATAAATATGTATTGTGCCTTAACAGAGAGACTCAATATTCAGAAAACAAATAGCATTTCGATGGGGTTGGGGGAATCTGTGAGCCCTTTAAAACCAGGTAATTTGCATAGGTAATTAAGAATTTTATGTGAGTAAGCAGGAATACTCTGGGTGCTATTCCATTGCCTTACCCACTTGTATTAGAGAAAAATGTACTGCCAAAGGAGGTCTAGCCAGCTTGGTGTTAACACCCTCCAGGCCTAGAGTATTTGGGTGCTGACTCAAAGGTTGTGGTTTTCTGGCATCGCAGAGCGAGCAGAAGAGAGAGAATGGTACCCTTAAGTATTACCCATAAAACCAGCTCTGGGAATCTCTGAGTACAGGTGTGAATGTTACAATCAGTAACTCAAATGGAAACAGAATCTCTTTGCCTGGATATGGGTTTAGAACCCTTGGCTGCAGTGAAGAAGAATAGATGGGCATTGGGGACCCCTCCTAAATCCAACATGATGCTCTTACAGTTTTTTTGGTGTTTTTTGTTTTTGTTTTTGTTTTACTTACTGGAGACTACAGAAGAGAGTTTGGCACCAAAAGGAAAGTATCAAGTAAAATTAAGCACCTGAGAGTTGAAATTTTTAGAAGAGCCATTTGGCAACTTGTATTACTTGCTTGTTGACAGTGTAAACTTTGCTTGGTAAGTTGAAAAGCCATACCAAACAAATCCTATTGCTCGCAATTAGAAGCACTTAAATAAGCTAATATAATCAATTATGTCTTTTAATTTGCTAGACAGCATTTACAGGGCTTAATTTTCTGCTGCTACACCTTCCAAATTATCTTCAGGTGGTGTTTGGAATCTAATAGGAAAATGTATTGCAGTTACCTTGATATTATCTGTGTTAAATTCCCCATACGCACTTCTTCCCAATCCAACACCCTCTGTATCCCATACCTAGAAATGATTTCATTACATTACATAAAGAAGAAAAGTCGTATTTATGTAATTTTTCTATTTCCCAACATTTATATCATCCTCCTACCAGTTTGCCCACAAAGTTATATTAAAATCAGCTGCAGTAATTATAGAAGCCAAACACAGAAAAATACTATATAAAAGAGACACGTAATGTAAAAATAGCTACTTATAGAGAAATAAATTACGAGACCGCTTAATCTCTTACACAGGTTGATGTAATTTAGAAAGAAAGTTTCTTGACCAAAAAAAAGAAATAGAGGTAGAATTTCAGGCAGCATAAAAGAGATATACTGACCTATTTGGTGTCTTTGCATGAACCTTCTTCAAGTACTAATACTAATTAGATTAGATTAGGATATTTTATATATGGTAATGGCTTAGGAAATAATGTAGGATATGGATAAAGGACAACTCTCCCACATAAAAGAGGAATCACTCCACAACTGAGGGACAAGGTCCACAATTCTCTCCCCATATCTGAAAAGCACTGGAATTCACACATAATAAACAGTGGGGCTTCCCACTTTCATCAGAAATTAACAACCACAGAAATGCAAAGAGCTGCCTTCCTCTTAGAAAACTGCAACCAGATGGTGTTAAAATGACAGAAGCTTCTGGTAACATTAAAAAAGCTTTAATAAAGAAGAAAGGTAAGAATTCATAATAATTTGTCAGTGTTTGTTTTGATTTGATTTGGTTTTTTGGGTTCTCTCCAAGAACTGGAAAAGACCCATATAGTTGCCATATATAAGTATTTTGGTCTACCCAACAGATATTTTATTAGTGAAAAGACAACAACTAAGAACCCACAGAACCCATAGCAGTCAGCCTGTATCATCTCTGGAAGATTTCTCAACTGTCTTTGCTCAGAATGAATTAGTCGTTAAAAGCTAGCTTATTCACTTACATTTTCCAGCATCTTCATACCAAAAAGGGAGTGTCCTATAGAGGAAACCTTGGAGCTCAGTTCAAACCAGTGTGGAAGAGAAGGTGGAAGAAAGGTTTCAAACCTGAGTTCTGGGTTCATTTTTTCACTATTATCTGTGTGACCTGGGAATGACACTAACCATTCTGGAGTTTGTCATCATTGAGGGTTCTTCCAGCTCACACTTTCAATGAATCAGTGGGACTCTAATCACTAGAAAACTACAGTCCATTTTCAAAGTTACTTAATTGTTCTTTTTATGTTCATTGAAATCACTCTTGAGCTTGATTAGTGAGAACCATCCTCCCAGAGTGACGTTATCTTCTGAATACCCTTATGAAATGATGTTTCTGAACCTAACAGTGGAACTGAACAGCCACAGCAAAGCCAACCCTCAGGGGGATTCCTTGAACTAGGGAAATTTAGGAAGTATTTAATACAAGTTTTACAGTTAATCCTGAACAACGGAGTTTGAACTGTCCAGGTCTACTTATATGCAGATTTTCTTCTGCCTCTGCCCTCCCTGAGACAGAAAAACCAACCCTTCCTCTTCCTCCTCCTCCTCAGCTTACTCGATGTGAAGACAATGAGGATGAAGACCTTTGTGATTATCCACTTCTACTTAATGAACAGTGAATATGTTTTCTCTCCCTTGTGATTTTCTTAATAACATTTTCTTTTTTCCACCTTACTTTCTTGTAAGGATAAGGTATATAATATATACATAACATACAGAATACGTGTTGATTGTTTGTGTTATCAGTAAAGTTTCTGGTCAACAGTAGGCTATTAGCAGTTAGATTTAAGGGAGTCAAAAGTTGCATGCAGATTTTCTACCGTGTGGTGTATTAGTACCCCTAACCCCCATGTTGTTTCATGGTCAATTGTATATTATATGACATATAAAAAAAAGAGAAAGTCTTTTTTGAAGATACTAGTAGCATATGTTGAAATCTAAAATTGAGAAAAAGTATAAAAAAGAACATAAATAATCATTTGTTCTACCATACAGAGATAATCACTATTAACATTTTAGAATATATATCCATATTATTTTTTCTATGTAGAGATAGATATGCTTTTTTAAACAAATTGGGATCTGCTCTATTGACTCTTGTCTTTTTCACTTAGTGAAATATCATAAGCATTTTCACACAGCCTTAAAAGCTTCTTTAAGATCATTATTTTTAATGCTACACAGTATTCTGGATATAGATGTACCATAATTTATTTAACCAACCCCCTATTGTTTGTCATTTAAGTTGTTTCCACTGCTTGCTATTATTAAAAATGCTGTGATAAATATCATCATACATAAATCTTTGGGCACATCTCTGATTATTGCTTTAAGATAAATTCCCAGGCATGGAATTATGGGGCCAAAGGGTATGAATATGTTTCAGATCTTTGACAGATTTGCCAAACTGCTCTCCAAGAGGCTTGTTCCAGTTTACAGGCCCACCAGCCAAGTAGAAAGTGACCAAGAGTTTTGATAAATGTCAATAAATGCTTAGTATAGCTAAAGAACCCTAGACACTTGTTAGAGAATAATTTTAAACAGCATAATTTTAAACAGCATATAACCCATACAGCCTATCTTCTTCTCACATGGGATTCGTTCTGGGAGAACTTGGTTTCAGGTAAACCCTTTTATTGTGTGGCTTATTTTAACATTGACATTAGAGGGTTATCAAAAAAAAAGATGATCAAAGATATGAGATTCTTAAAGTTCATTGGCTACTACATGCAATTTTGTGTCCTGAGTTTTGCCTTCTATGAACATTTCTTTCTTTTACAAAGAAAAATGGTGGAAAATATTTACTATTTAATTTGCTAAAAATATTACATAGCTAAATTTACAGAATTAAATCTCGTCCAAAGAATGAGATACATCTGTTTTTATGTAAAAAAAAAAAAAAATGAATTCACCTGGGTGCAGTGAGTGGCTCTGCCTATAAACTCAGCACTTTGAGAGGCCAAGGTGGGAGGACCACTTGAGGCCAGGAGTTCTAAGCCAGCCTGGGCAACATAGCAAGATCCCATTTATACTAAATACTTAAAAATTAGCCAGGTGTGGTGGCATGCACCTGTAGTCCCAGCTACTCTGGTGGATGAAGTGGGAGGATCACTTGAGCCTAGGAGTTGGAGACTGTAATGAGATATGATTGTACCACTGCACTGCAACCTGGGTGACAGAGAGACCCTGACTCTTTAAAAAAAGAATTTTTTTGAAGGAATACTTTGAAATTAATTTCTTCTCTCAACTGCTATGGATGGCAGAAACAAATCCAATGCTAATATTCCTATTTTCCAGGTGGAGGAACAAACCCAGCAGTGTAAATTGCCTTTGCCAAAATCAGCAAACAGTAAAACTACCACAAAACTAATTTCTTTATTTTTTAATGTTCTGGGTTCTGTGTTAGCACATCCTACCACACTTTAAAAAAAAAAAAAAAAAAAGCAATACTTGTGTTGTCCACATCTCAACCAAGGGAAGTCTTTTCCAAGGTGATGGACAGCTGGCAGGAACAGATGGCTGGGAGTAGAATGTTCCAGCCAGGGGCTCTGACATACAGATGGGTCCCAATGTGCTGAGTCTCCACCACAAGCTCAGTGGGCCACTGGCCTTAGGAGCCTTAAAGAGGTTGCTGCTGTCATCTGGCCCAGGTTTTGGAATTGTAGAAACACGCAGACCCAAAATGCAGAGATGAGAGTTATTATTGGCCAAAAATTGGGTGTCTAATTGTAAATTAGCCTGGTTCTCTGGCAGGATCCTAAGAAGAATAATTCAACTGGAAGTTCATACAAATTTGGTTACAATGATGTCTTTGCTTAGAGTGTATTTTTGCCTGTTCTCTGTGTATTAAGATCCTAGCTAATTCTTCAAGTTCACCTCAAATATTGTCTCTTTCTTGATTCTCCAGCCAGAAGTAATCTCTGCCGCCCCTGTACTTTCAAAGTCCTTTACCTCTATCTCCCATTACACTTAACATTTCCTATCTCATATTCAAATGACTTATTCACATGTCACATTCTAGCCTCAATGAGCTGACAGTCTGGTTGAGATCACCACCCCTTTTTTTCCACAGGACTCATAATACATTGTAGCAGAAGCTGTTCAAAATATTTATAGAATAACTGAAAATGAAATGTATTGTATAGTCCAGGAGTGGTGGCTCACACTTGTAATTCCAGCACACTGGGAGGCTGACACAGGTGGATGGCTTCAGCCCTTGAGTTCAAGACCAGCCTGGGTAACATGGCAAAACCCCATCTCCACAAAAAAAAAAAAAAAAAAAAAAAAAAAAAAAAAAAACATAAATTAGCTGGGCGTGTTCTCATGCACCTGTAGTCCCAGCTACTTAGGAGGCTGAAGTGGGAGAATTGCTTGAGCCTGGGAAGTTAAGGCTGCAGTGAGCCGAGATGGTGCCACTGCATTCCAGCCTGACCCTGTCTCAGTTAAAAAAAAAAAAAAAATCAAGTTGCATGTAGACACTTCCTGACAATGACAATTCTATTAAATAGCTCAGATACAAATCAACATCTCTTGAACTTTTAAAAGTTGCCTGAAAGGAACCCAAGATGAATTGTTATCTACATGTAGATTTTTTTCCCCTTAAAACACAAAACTTAATTAGTTCAGCTTTAAACATTTTGTTTCTATAAATTTAAAAAAGAACACTAAAGGGAAAGGAGAAATGATTGATAGCATGTTGCGTTAACAAATTCACCATTCTGGGATGTTTTCGCATCTTGTTTTAAAACAGCCAGATTTTCAACATTATAAATATGAATTAACTTTCCCATCTTTGTACAGGAGGACCCAAGTGTGATATCCCTGCTTAGAGACAGTCTTGATGGTAAAAATAAAGATACCGTCCTTGTCAAAATTATAAGTTTCTTCTAGGAATGGCTACTATTCACTCCTCTTTTCTGGGACTGGCTTCCTTCCCAGTGGCTTAGGAAAGCTTTAGCCCTTCAGCAGGAACCAAAAGGCTCAGAATAGAGACCTAGAAAAACAGTAAAGAAAGCAATATTCTATTTTTAAATCACAGGACTCTTCTGAATATTCTTTGAGTAAGAACATTTTAGTTTATTATTACAAATAAAATGTTTGTAAAAGGAACATACGTAGAGTCTATTAAACACCTGGTTGAAGGTATACCTGATAAAAGTATGCAGAGAGTGGCAAAAGATTAAAAAGATCCCAATAATGCATGCAGCCACATTCACGGTAAGTTCGAAGAAAATCACATGTAGAGCAATACCTGTGGGGTCATGGGACCAGAGCTACTAGATTAGTACCCAGGGGATGTCACCATAGAGCTGGGATAGATGTGTTTACTATATCCAAAAAGCTGACCACAGGCTTCCATCGGGGAGAAAGCTATATTCGCAACCTTCCTTTGTAACAATAATCTGGTGTGAGCAAGATAATTATGCAATTAAAAATAGACCAATCAATCACATTTTATACAATGAACACTCATAAGACTGAGTATGAAGACTCAGGAAAATTGCTAAGGCCATAGGAACAATGGTCAGAAAACCAGTTAAATACATCTCTTGTAACGTTCAACTGAAGGAAAAGCTGACCTGCAGCCATAGTCCTTGTGTGTGCTGAGGAAAAGCAATGTGGCTTAAAGTAGCAAAGGACTAAGATTCAGGAGATGTGGATTCAACTCTCAGTTCAGTTACTAATCAATGGAAACATGACCTCATCTATTAAAGTGAATCTTTGACTCATGAGTATGTCATAAGGGAAAGATCAGAGAACCTTGAATGGGTGGTACACCAGCTCTTACTAGCCCAAGGGCTTTGCAACCACAAGTGTTATTACTCAAATCATTGTTGAGAGATGACTTTTGATTCCAGGTTTTCCTTAGTTCCTTCATTAGAAAATGGTAGAATTGGCTATAACTAACAGCTGTCTAGACACCTGTAATGACAACAATGTTTTCTCTGAGATAACAATGGGAAAAGTAGTTTGATATTGAAAGGAAACCATTTCATGCTGCCTGTCTAATAACATTTCACTCGTTTCTTAATTTAGAGGTTTTCGAACTCTAGTTCATGAAACTTTATGGCTTCAGGGAAACTTGCCAAAATTATGGGGTAAGTTCTATAAATTTATAAATTTCTATAAATTTCTGATTTTTTCATAAAGATGTCTGATCAATTTTTTAAATGCTTCATGATATATGCTTGTGTAAATGAGTATATAATCATTCTTAGTTATATCGTAAAAACCCAAAGTAATTTAGTTAATTTTATTTATATCACCTCTCAAAAAGTAAGAGCAGTGCATTAGAGGTTTCTACTATTAGAATATTTGTCAATTTATCATTTATTTACTGTAATTTTGGCCTTAAATAATTTGATTCTGCATGGGTTCAAAAAATTAATGTTTTATTTCAAAAGGGTGGTGTACACCCCTTACTAATATAAACTGTTTATTTTTGTTCCATGTAATGCTTTTTGTTTTGTATTCACTCTTCTATAATATTACTAGTTGTGACCTCTAGTTTTTGTTATTATTTTTGGTTGTTTTCCTTTTTAACATGCATGTATTCAGCTACCAGATATTTCTTTTCATATTGATTTATATTTAGTCTTTTGGAATTATTTTAATTTTATGCCTTTTATATAATCTGATAACTTTTGTTTCGCTAAGTGAATTTCTTCCATTTATACACATTTTTATAAGAAACATGTTGAGTCTTGAGGTTTCATTTTAGTTTCTTACTGTTTCTGTTTTTATACTTCTATTGTTTCCTACCTTTTTCTTGTAGTCTTTGTTTCCTTAGTGTTAATGTTTTGTTCTATTCTGATTATTTAAGAGATTTATTGTCTTTTCAAGTTCTTTTTAACTATTAATTATATACTTCAACCTCTATTTATTGACCTAACAACTTCAGACAGTGTCTTTTGACTTCCAAGATGAAAGATGAGGAAATTAGTGCTCTCTTGTCTTAACTCCCCTCTTCCCTCCCTCCCTGTAGATTTTTCAGTTATGTCATTATCATTTCACATTGTCAAGGTTTATGTCAGTTACAGCCTCTTTTGTGATTAAAACCTCCATAGCAGCTTTTATATATATATATATATATATATATATTTTTTTTTTTTTTTTTTTAATGAATTCATTGTTTGCCTCTTGGTCTTTCATACTGCTGCTTTTTCATCCCTGAATCCTTTATTTAATTTCATTTAGGGTTTCATCATGAAGTAATTGCTTCGAAACCATTGATAAGCCTTACATTCCTCCATGACTCTCACGTTTAAGAATGCCTTTCTTGATGCGCTTGGTTTCTCAAGTCACCTGCTTGGCCCTTTTCCAAGTGTACTTTCCTTCCTTTGTTTCCTTTCCTTCCTTTCCTTACATTCTAAAGCTTTTTAAGAAACTTCCACTTCTGCTCTGAAACTTGCCTTGGTCTCCTTTTCTGCCTTATGCCCCTCAGTCAAATTCTTTCTTCTGAGGAGGCAAGAATTAAGGTTGCTGCAGACCCATAAGAAATCAGCCCTGGTAACTTGGATACCTTCTACCAGTTACATATTTGGTGCCACATGACTTGGATACTTTCCCTAGTGGTAAGAGATCTCTAAGCTGTGCCTTCTTCGGCTGGAGGCATTCGACCCCCACGCGCAGCCGCACAGTGTTTCTTTCTCTCTGTCTCTCTCTCCCCCTCTCTCTCCTAAAGAAAAAAAAACATCCCTTTCTTTTCACATGATTGATAATCCGATGTGGAATAAAATACTTATGTTTACTTTTTACCCCTATAAAAATCTGTAGACATTGTATTCACCTTATTTTAAAATTAAATGATATAGAGGAGTAAGCCAAATTCAGCCTTACAAAAAACCCCCCGCTTTTTCTACATCTATTATTCTATGTTATTTTTATTTTCTTGAATCACTGTACTTTTTCAGACAATTGGTTGAGGGAAGTTTTATTAAATTTGGAATCCTTTTCTCTCATTAAGAATGATTCACATGTTCAATTCCACTTATTTTACACATCTCTTCCTCTTTCGAGTTGCCTTCATCTTTTTGTTCTTCTCCATTTGGTTTTATATGATTTTCTCGAACATTTTCTCCATGTCCCTGACTCTCTTTTAGTGACATCTATCCTACTTGCTTCTTCTAACATGGCTCTCCATTCTGGTAAAATTTTTCAGTTTCTTAACCCATTTATGCCCAGTGTTCCATTATTGGAACGCTAAGCTTGTAGGAGTTATTTATATCCTACTGCCCAAGGTCATCACCAAGATCTGATTTTTCACACACAAAAATGTGCAACCTCCAGCATAAATGGGTTCTGCTATTTGTTTTTATGGTTTTTTTACTTTATTTTTTAATTCTTGTATCTTTTTATTTCTGTTACTTTTTCAAAAATTTAGAGCATTATTTTTCTTTTCCTATTCTCTTTAGAATAAAAACATATTAGCTACATGATCTTAAGTGAGGGACTTGCCTAAGAAAACTCAGTTTTCTCATCTATGTAACAAAAGATAGTAATAATATCTCCCTACTTCAATACCTAATTCACAGATTTGTTGTAAATATCAACAAAAAGATGTTTAAAACACTTTTTAACCTATACAGTAATTTATAAACAAGTTATCCACGAATGGCACATTGTGGATAACATATTATGTTACACACGGCAATACACAGCAACACATAGCAGTACATTTGTTTACAACCAGAATCAAGAACACTGCCTACAATAAATACTGTAAAGATGAATATTACATCTAAAACTACTACTAGCCACTGTTTACTGAGACTTAAAATGAACTAGGCACCACAATAATGACACATATTAGGTCATTGGGATATGTAGAGTGCAGGTTTCATAGGTGGGATTTCTGAGAATTAGAAAGCTTAAGTGATTTGCCCAAGGTCATAGAGTTTGTAAATAACAGTGCTGGGATACAATGATTGTGCCTGATATGAAGTTCGTGCTCTTTCCACCAGATCAAGCACAAATATGAAGAAAACCAAAAAAAAAAGAAAACAAAACAAAACAAAAAAAAACCTTAATTTTAAATTACATATCCATTCTAACCCCCTTTAGTAGCCTCAAATTTGTTTATTTATTAATGTTTATTGGTAAATTGTAGGTATGTTTTAATAGACTTCATTATTTTTTTTTGAGGCAGGATATTATTCTGTTGCCCAGGCTGGAGTGCAGTGGCATGATCATAGCTCACTGCAGCCTCCAGCTCCTGGGTTGAAGCAATCCTCCTGCCTCAGCCTCTCAAAGTAGCACACACCACCACATTCAGCTAATTAAATGAAAAAAAAATGAAAAAAAAAAAAAACCAAAAACATTGTAGAGACATCTTGCTATGCTGCCCAGACAGGTCTTGAACTCCTGGCTTCAAGTGATCCTCCTACCTCGGCCTCTGAAAGTGCTGGGAATACAGGCATGAGCCACCGTGCCTAGATGACTTGATTTTTTTAGAGAAATTTTAGGTTCACAGCAAAATCAAGTGGAGGATACAGAGAATTCCCATATAACACTGCCCCACATATGCATCCCCTAGCCATTATCAACACCCCACACCAGAGTGGTACATTTATAACTGATGAACCTACATTGACACATCATTATCCCCTGTGTCCACAGTTTAATTAGGGTTCATTCTTAGAGTTGTATATTCTATGGGTTTTGACTAATGTATAACAGCACACCCATCATCATAGCATCTATCATGCAGTGTAGTTTCACTCACCTAAAAGTCCTCTGTGCTTCACTTATTCACTGCTGCCTCTTATTGTCTCCACAGTTTTGCCTTTTCCAGACTATTCTATAGTTTAAATCATACAGTATATGGCCTCTTCTGATTGGTTTCTTTCCCTTAGTGTTATGTACTTAAGGTTCTTCCATATCTTTTCATGTTGATACCTCATTTGTTTTGAACACTGAATAATATTCCATTGTCTAGATGTACCACAGTTTATTTATCCATTCACCTATTGAAGGAAATTTTGGTTGCTTTCAAGTTTTGGCAGTTACAAATAAAGCTGCTATAAACATGCATGTGTAGGTTTCTGTGTGGACATAGCCTTCAATTCATTTGAGTAAACGAAAAGGAATGCAGTTGCTGGGTCATATGGTAAGAGTATGTTTAGTTTCTTGAGAAACTATCCAACTGTCTTCCAAAGTGGCTTCACCATTTTGCTTTCCCACCAGCAATGAATGAGAGTTTATGTTGCTCCATATCCTCACCAACAATTAATGTTGTCATAGTTTTGGATTTTCTGCATTTTAGTAGGTATGTAATGGTATCTTCTTGTTTGAATTTGCAATTCCCTAATGAAATATAATGTTAAGCATCTTTTCATATGCTTATTTGCCACCTGTGTATCTTTTGGGTGAGTTGTCCAGATCTTTGGCCCATTTTTTAATCAGGTTTTTCATTTTTTTATTATTGAGTTTTGAGAGATCTTTGTATATTTTGGATAACAGTCCTTTATAAGATATGTCTTTTGCCAGTATTCTCTCCATCTGTAGAATGTCTTCTCATTATTTTGACAGTGTCTTTCACAGAGCAGAAATTTTTATTTTAATGAGTCTAGTTTATTAATTATTTATTTCTTAGAAATAAGTGCCTTTTGTGCTATATCTAAAAAGTTATTGTCAAACTCAAGGTCATCTATATTTTCTCATGTTATCTTTTAAGAGTTCAAATTTATTTTTTTATGTTCTTTTAATATCTCCAATTCCCTAACATTATTGATCTCCACCTAGCATCAGCTTTATTTTTCATTAGATTTTACTTTTACATTAAAATTATGCATATACATGTACATTATAAATGCATGTATACCTACATAAATGTGTTATATGTGTTTGTGTGTATGTTTCTATGATTTCAAAATATATAAAATTTTTTTCATAAATAATTTTATAAAATAAAAGCACTTTTAGGACTAATGATGTGATTGAATGTCATGGCAATGTCAAATTACTATAAAAGTTTCTGAACATTCATTCTTCATTTTTAATGCTCATTATATCTCAGACCAGTATGAAACACTTCACAGCCCATCATCTATCTATAGACAACACTTTGAGTAGTCCTGCAAAATTGGATCAGCATAGCCAAATGTTGCTGTCTTGAAAAGACTAACAAAATTGTTATATTCCTGCAAAGACAGATCAAGGAAAACAGTGAGAGGGTAATACAAAATGAGAAAAGGGCCGATACTACAGATCCTATAAACATAAATTAATCATAACGGTATACATTAAATAACTTTACCAATTGGATTAAAAATTGACATATTCCTAGAAAAATGTAACTCATCAAAACTGACAACAAATATTTAAAAAATCATTATTATTTATTTATTGTAAAGACAGAGCTATTGAGTCAAGGTCAGGGCATCATGGCGGATGGGAGGCAGAACTAAATTGCAGCTCTGACTCAAATGGACAGAGCAGCATGCAGAGGTTCGCATTGTGAATTTTAACTCCAGAACAACTGCAAGAACCAACCAGGAATCCCAAGAGGACCCACAGACCCTCTGAAGGAAGCAGATTGCTCCTGCAGGACCCAGGAGACACCACCAATACTGTGAGTGCCCAAACTGTGGAAGTGGGAAAGGGAGATTGTCTACCCTCGAGCACATATCCCCCTTGGGAAACTGAAGGTCTAACTTACTAAAGAAGATTCCAACCTTACCTGGAGGTGAGTCTATTTAGAGAGCCAAGTGAAATACAGGGGTAGGGGAAGCAGCAAGAAAGGCCCTGTGACCTCATTGGGTCCCCAAGAAGGCCATTCTTGCCTGGCATCACAGGGATTCTTCAGGATGGTGACCAGAAGAACGGGGAAAGTGCCACAGGGAGAAGGAAATCTCCAGCTTGAACTGGTCAAGAAGCCTCCTGGCCAGAACTCAGGGGAAGTAATGAATGTGGTGTGCAGACTCCACAGGCAGGGGAAGCACAAAAGCCCTACTTGCTTTCACAGCTGACAGGCAGGTAGCCTGGGGCAAGTTCTCAGCCCTGGATCCCCACTGCCTGGAAACAGACTTAGTGCTGTTAGGCGGTCATGGTGGGAGTCAAAAAGACGCTTTGGATTGTGTAGGAGCTGAGTGAAGCCGGTGACTGCCAGCCTTCCCCGACTTCCCTGAGAACCTGCATGACTCCACAGAGGCAGCCATAATCCTCCTAGGTACACAACTCGATTGACCTAGAAATCTTACCCCCGTCCCCCACAGCAGCTGCAGCCAGACCCACCTGAGGAGAGTCTGAGCTCAGACACACCTAGCCCTGCCCCCACCTGATGGTCCTACCCTACCTACCCTGGTAACTGAACACAAATAACATATACTCTTGGGAGTTCTAGGGCCCCGCCTAGCATCTGTTCCTCCCCACATTACCACAGCTGATGCTCTCTGGAAAGTGCCACCTTCCAGCAGGAGGCAAACCAGCACCAAAACAGAGCATTAAACCACCAAAGCTAAGAACCCTCAAAGAGACCATTTCACTCCTCTGCCAACTCCACTGGAACAGGTGCTGGTATCCACGGCTGAAAGACCCATAGACAGTTCACATCATAGGACTGTGCAGACAACCCCCAGTACCAGCCTGGAGCCAGGTAGACTTGTTGGGTGGCTAGATCCAGAAGAGAGATAACCATCACTACACCTCATGTCTCAGGAAGCCACATACATAAGAAAAAGGGGAGAGTACTACATCAAGGGAACACTCCTTGGGACAAAAGAAGTTGAACAACAGCCTTCAGAACTAGACCTTCCCTCTGACAGAGCCTACCCAAATGAGAAGGAACCCAGAAAACCAACCTGGTAATATGAAAAAACAAGGCTCTCTAACACCCCAAAAAAATCATACTAGCTCACCAGCAATGGATCCAAACCAAGAAGAAATCCCTGATTTACCTGAAAAAGAATTCAGGATGTTAGTTATTAAGCTAATCAGGGAGGCACCAGAAGAAGGTGAAGCCTAATGCAAGGAAATCCAAAAAAAAAAAAAAAAAAAAAAAAAAAAAAAATATATATATATATATATATATATATATATATATACAAGAAGTGAAGGGATACATATTCAAGGAAATAGATAGCTTAAAGAAAAAACAATCAAAACTTCAGAAAACATTGGAAACACTTATAGAAATGCAAAATGCTCTGGAAAGTCTCAGCAATAGAATTGAACAAGTTGAAGAAAGAAATTCAGAGTTCAAAGACAAAGTCTTCAAATTAACCCAATCCAAAAAAGACATAGAAAAAAAGAATAAGAAAATATAAACAAAAGCTCCAAGACATCTGGGATTATGTTAAATGACCAAACCTAAGAATAATCAGCGTTCCTGAGGAAGAAGAGAAATGTAAAATTTTGGAAAACATATTTGGGGAAATAATCAAGGAAAACTTCCCCAACCTTATTAGAGACCTAGACATCCAACTACAAGAAGCACAAAGAACACCTGGGAAATTCATCACAAAAAGATCATCACCTAGGCACATTATCATTAGGTTAACTGAAGTTAAGGTGAAAGAAAGAATCTTAAGAGCTGTGAGGCAAAAGCACCAGGTAACCTATAAAGGAACACCTATCAGATTAACAGCAGATTTATCAGCAGAAACCCTACAAGCTAGAAGGGATTGGGACCCTATCTTCACCCTCCTCAAACAAAACAATTATCAGCCATGAATTTTGTATCCAGCAAAACTAAACATTGTATATGAAGGAAAGACACAGTTGTTTTCAGACAAACAAATGCTGAATCTGCCACTATCAAGCCACCACTACAAGAACTACTAAAAGGAGCTCTAAATCTTGAAACAAATCCTGGAAACACATCAAAACACAACATCTTTAAAGCATAAATCTCACAGGACTTAAAACCAAAAATACAACTTAAAAAACAAAAACAAAAAAGCAAACTACACAGGCAAAAATAGTATGATGAATGGAATGGTACCTCACATCTCAATACTAACATTGAATGAAAATGGCCTAAATGCACCACTTAACAGATACAGAACTGCAGAATGGATAGGAATTCACCAAACAACTATGTGCTGCCTTCAAGAGACTCACCTAACACATAATGACTCACATAAACTTAAAGGGGTGGAAAAAGGTATTTCATTCAAATGGACACCAAAAACAAGCAAGAGCAGCTATTCTTATATCAGACAAAAGAAACTTTAAAGTAACAACAGTTTAGAAAGACAATGAGGGACATTATATAATAGTAAAAGGCTTCCTCCAACAGGAAAATATCACAATCCTAAACATATATAACATTGGAGCTCCCAAATTTATAAAATAATTACTAATAGACTTAAGAAATGAGATAGCATCATAAAAATAGTGGAAGACTTTAATACTTTATTGACAGCACTACACAGGTCATGAAGCCAGATAGTCAACAAAGAAACAATGGATTTAAACTATACCTTGGAAAAAAATGGACTTAAGATATATAAAGAACATTCCATCCAACAACCACAGAATACACATTCTATTCAAAAGCACATGGAACTTTCTCCAAGATAGACCATATGAGAGGCCATAAAATGAGCCTCAATAAATTAAAGAAAATTGAAATCATATCAAAAAATATCTCAGACCACAGTGAAATAAAACTGGAAATCAACTCCAAAAGGAACCTTCAAAACCATGCAAACACATGGGAAACAAATAACCTGCTCCTAAATTAGCATTGGGTCAAAAATGAAATCAAGATGGAAATTTAAAAATTCTTCAAACTGGACGACAGTAATGATACAACCTATCAAAACATCTGTGAGATAGCAAAGGCACTGCTAAGAGGAAAGTTCATAGCCCTAAACACCTATATCAAAAAGTCTGAAAGAGCACAAACTGACTATCTGAGCTCACACCTCAAGGAACTAGAGAAACAAGAACAAACAAAACCCAAACCCAGCAGAAGAATGGAAATAACCAAGATCAGAGCAGAACTAAATGAAATTAAAACAAAAAAATACAAAAGATAAATGAAATGAAAAGCTCGTTCTTTGAAATGATAAATATAATTGATGGACCATTCACAAGATTAACCTAGAAAAGAAGAGAGAAAATCCAAATAAATTCAATAAGAAATGAAACGGGAGATATTACAACTGACACCACAAAAACACAAAAGATCATTGAAGGCTGCTATGAGCACCTTTATGCACATAAACTAGAAAACCTAGAATAGATGGAAAATTCCTGGAAAGATACAACCGTCCTAGCTTAAATCAGGGAGAATTAGATACCCTGAACAGACCAATAACAAGCAGCGAGAAAGAAATCGTAATTTAAAAATTACCAAAAATAAAAAAGTCCAGAACCAGATGGATTCAAACCAGAATTCTACCAGACATTCAAAGAAGGAATTGGTACCAATCCTTTTGACACTATTCTACAAGATAGAGAATAAAATCATTCTATGAAGCCAGCATCACCCTAATACCAAAACCAGGAAAGTACATAACCAAAAAAGAAAAGAAAACTACAGACCAATATCCTTGATGAACATAGATGCTAAAATCTTTAACAAAATACTAGCTAATCAAATTCAACAACATATCAAAAAGGTAATCCACCAAGATCAAGTGGGTTTCATACCAGAGATGCAGGGATGATTTAATATATGCAAGTCAGTAAATGTGATACACCACATAAACAGAATTAAAAACAAAAATCACATGATCATCTCAATAAATGCAGATAAAGCATTCAACAAAATCCAGCATCCCTTTGTGATTAAAACTCTCAGAAAAATCAACATAGAAGGGACATACCTCAAGGTATTAAAAGCCATATATGACAAACCTACATCCAACATAATGCTGAATGGGGAAAAGTTGAAAGAATTCCCTCTGAGAACTGGAACAAGACAAGCATGCCCACTCTCACCACTCCTCTTCAACATAGTACTGGAAGTCCTAGACAGAGCAATCAGGCAAGAGAAAGAAATAAAGGACATTCAAATCAGTAAAGAGTAAGTCAAACTATCACTGTTTGCTGATGATATGTTTGTTTACCTTGAAAACCCTAAGGCCTCCTCCAGAAAGCTCCTAGAACTTATAAAAGAATTCAGCAAAGTTTTTAGATACAAAATTAATGTACACAAATCAGTAGATCTTCTATACAACAACAGCAAGCAAGCTGAAAAACAAATCAAGAACACCACCCCTTTTACAATAGCTGCAAAAAAGAAAAAAAAAATACTTAGGAATGTACCTAACCAAGGAGTCAAAATACCTCTACAAGGAAAACTACAAAACACTGCTGAAAGAAATCATAGATGACACAAACAAATGGAAACACATCCCATGTTCCATGGATGGGAAGAATCAATATTATGAAAAATTACCATACTACGAAAAGCAATCTACAAATTCCATGCAATTACCATCAAAATACCACCATCATACAACACAGAATTAGAAAAAACAATTCTAAAATTCATATGGAATCAAAAAAAGTACCCACATAGCCAAATCAAGACTAAGCAAAAAAAACAAATCTGGAGGCATCACACTACCTGATTTCAAACTATACTATAAGGTCATAGTCACCAAAACAGCATGGCACTGGTATAAAAATAGGCACATAGGTTAATGGAACAGAATAGAGCACCAGAAATAAACCAAAATACAGCCAACTGATATTTGACAAAGAAAACAAAAACTTAAAATGGGAAAAGGACACCCTTTTCAACAAACGGTGCTGGGAGAATTAGCTAGCCACATGGAGAAGAAAGAAACTGGATCCTCATCTCTCACATTATACAAAAAGCAACTCAAGATGGATCAAGGACTTAAACCTAAGATCTGAAGCCATAATGATTCTAGAAGACAACACTGGAAAAATCCTTCTAGACATTGGCTTAGGTAAGGATTTCATGACCAAGAACTCAAAAGCAAATGCAATAATAACAAAGATAAATAACTGGAACTTAATTAAACTAAAAAGCATTTGCATGGCAAAAGGAACAGTCAACAGAGTAAACAGACAACCCACAGAGTAGGAGAAAATCTTCATAATCTATACATCTGACAAAGTACTAATATTCAGAATCTACAATTAACTAAAATCAGCAAGAAAAAAACATCCCATTGAAAAGGGGCTAAGGACATGAATAGACAATTCTCAAAAGAAGATATACCAATGGCCAATTAACATATGAAAAAATGCTCAACATCACTAATGATCAGGAAAATGCAAATCAAAACCACAATTCAATACCACCTTACTCCTGTAAGAATGACCATAATCAAAAAATCAAAAAACAGTAGATGTTGGCATAGATGCAGTGATCAGGGAACACAAATACACTGCTGGTGGGAATGTAAACTAGTACAACCACTATGGAAAACAGTGTGGAGATTCCTTAAAGAACTAAAAGTAGAACTACCATTTGATTCAGCAATCCTACTACTATGTACCCAGAGGAAAATAAGGCATTATACGAAAAAGTTACTTGCACATGCATTTATTTATAGCAGCAAAATTCGCAATTGCAAAACTGTGGAAGCAGCCCAAAGGCCCATCAATCAATGAATAGATAAAGAAACTGTGAGATATTATATATATATATGTGATGGAATATTACTCAGTCACAAAAAGGAATAAATTCATGACCTGGATGAGATTGGAGGCTATTATTCTAAGTGAAGTAACTCGGAAATGGAAAATCACACATCATATATTATCACTTACATGTGTGAGCTAAGCTATGAGGACACAAATGCATAAGAATGATACAATGGACTTTGGGGACTTGGGAGGAAGGGTGGGAGGGGGCAAGGGATAAAAGCCTACAAATAGGGTGCAGTGTATACTGTTCAGGTGACAGGTGCACCAAAATCTCACAATCACCAGTAAAGAACTTATTCATGTAACCAAACACCACCTGTACCCTAATAACACATGAAAAAATTAAAAAAAATTTAATATTTAAAAACCAGAAAAAAGACAGACCTATTAAAGGAATTGAATCCTTTAAATCCTTTGAAATTAAAGGAATTTTCCAAGGCCTCCTCTAAAAAAAATTTAAAAATAGAAAACCCTAGATGATTTCCAAACATTTAAGGGGGAAAAAAAGCACACCAATTTTACACAAATGTATGCAGGAATTTGTTTTAAAGAGAAATGTTTTCCAGCCAATTTTGTATGACCAGCATACCAGCATGGCATTAATACTAAAACTTGATAAAGAAAATTAGAAGCCAACCTTCCTTATATCAAAATTCACTTAAAAATTTAGCAAACAATTATGGGACATATAAAATAATTCATCAATACTAAGTGGGCTTGATTCCAGAAATGTAAAATTGGTTAACACATTTGAAAATCAATTAATGTAATTAAACACATTAAGGAGAAAATTTCTATTATTTCAATAGACATAGGAAGTGCATTTGATAAAATTCAATACCCATTTGTGATACTTTTTAACTCTTAGTAAACTAGAAAAGGAAGAGAACTTCTTCCTTAGTCTGATGAATAACAGCTACAAAAAAACCTATAGCAAACATCAAGTTAATACTAAATATCAAAAGCTTTCACTTTTGGATCTTAAATAAGATAAGGTTGTCAGCTAACATCCCTTCCATTCAACAGTGTACTGACTATCTTAGTCAGGACAATAAAGCAAAAAGAAGAAATAAAAAGCATGATAATTTGAAAGAAAAAAGTAAACTGCCATTATTCAGAAACCACGTGATTACTGCACACAGGCATTCCCAAAGAATCTACAATTAGAATTAATAAGTAACTTGAAAAATGTCTATGCAGACGTTTTCCTATGCCATGTTCTAGAGGCTATCGTTTTACTTGTCATACATATGTAGAGCTACAACCCATTGGAAATAATTTTGTGTATTTTGTGTAAGGTAGGGGTTCAAATTTTTATTTTTTTATATAGGGATACCAAATTAACTCAGTATCATGGATTTAAAATACATCCTCTCACCACTTCTCTTCAGTGCCATGGATTTTTAAATCAAGTATGAATTCCATGTGATTCTGAACCCTCTCTTCTGTACCATTTACCTCTGTGTGTGTCCTTGTGTCAATAGCACATTATCTGAAAACTCTCCAGTATTATTCATCTTTAAAATCATCAGGCTGGGCGCGGTGGCTCACGCCTGTAATCCCAGCACTTTGGGAGGCCACGGCGGGCAGATCACAAGGTCAGGAGTACAAGACCGGCCTGACCAGCATAGTGAAACCCTGTCTCTACTAAAAATACAAAAATTAGCTGGGAATGTTGGCACACGCCCATAATCTCAGCTACTCAGGAGGCTGAGGCAGGAGAATTGCTTGACCCCGGGAGGCACAAGTTGCAGTAAGCTGAGATCGCGCCACTGCACTCCAGTCTGGTCAACAGAGAGAGACTCTGTCTCAAAAAAAAAAAAAAAAATCGCCTTAGCTATTCTTGGCCTTTTACATTTCTATATCCATTTTAGAATCAGCATGCCAACATTCACAAGAAAGAAAAATTCTTACCAATTATATATTATACATATATAATTATTATGTTAAGACATATAATGCTTATAACATATCTTTATTATCTCAAAGTTAATATACTTGTTAAGAAATAATTGCTGTGTATGCAGTAACATCACTTCTCTCAGTAAGTCAGATGCACATCTGTTAACACACAGCATGCCCTTTAAAACATCTACATATGGTGCTTAGGCTACTTATTGTATTGGGAAATCATTTTGAGTAATTTCCTGAATTTTATTTTGTTTAAAGTGTTTTATTGAGTTTAGGGCATGTAAATATAAATATTCTCTGCATAAACATCCACCTCAAAAATGTCCCAGTGAGAAATATTTACGCCTCATCAAGTTTGGTTATTAAAAACCAAATGGCATCAAACAGGAAGATGTTCTGAGAGGTATGCCAGTAGTCACTTCATGGAATAGGAAGACAGAAATGCCATGAAATGTCACCTGTTGGCCAGGTGTGGTGGCTCACGCCTGTAATTCCAGCACTTTGGGAGGCTAAGGTGGGAGGCTCTCTTAAGATCAAGAGTTCAAGACCAGCCTGGGCAACATAGGGAGATTCCATCTCTACAAAATAAAAATTAGCCAGGTGTAGTAGAATGTACCTATGGTCCCAGCTATTCAGGAGGATTGCTTGAGCCTGGGAGGCTGAAGCTGCAGTGAGATGTGATCCCACCACTGCACTCCAGCCTGGGTGACAAGGCAAGAGTCTGTCTCTAGAAAATAAAATAATAAACAGTCACCTGTTATTCTGAATCTTGGCAATCATTAATTTAAAAAGCATTCACTGTTCTGTTGTATGGTTTCTATCCAAAAATATTTAGTTACTCTGTGATGAACAAGCAGAAGGTGAATAGTTGGGTTCTAGCAGGGCTTTGGAAAAGAGAGACAAGTTATGGTGCTTGCAAGGGAGTGCTTATAGGGATGGGCCACGGACTCAAAGCTGAGAGAGACAACTGCAGAGACTGATGCCCAGTGAAAAAAATGTCCTGGTACTTTTCTATTATGGAAGTTTTAAAGAAGGCTTTAAGAAGGTTTCTGTTATTTCCAAGACTGAAAGTGATATATGAGGCTTATTTGACCAAAATGTTGTCAAAATGGACTAGGCTCATGAAGAAAAGTCAAGATCATCCCTCCCACCTTCTTCCTTTCCCCTCTGTTTTTCTGATTCTTGCTTTTTTTTTTCCTTTCTCTCTTTCCTGTATCTTTCTCTTCTTCTATTTTCTCAATTTCTAACTTCTCTAGCCTAATTTACTCTTTCATTTCTAATTATTTTCTACTTTCTTTTCTTCCCCTGTTCTATTTCCAGATTCGATCTTATCTATCTTTCTGTGTCATGCCAGGATTGGAGAAGAGTGGACATCCAGGTGACAATGATTAGTAAATAACAGCTCTCTTTCAACCCTCCTTGTCTTTCTGCTACTTACAGACATCGTACTGAACTGTTATTTTTATACTGTGTTTCTTTGTATTTTTTTATTTTTTTGAGATGGAGACTTGCTCTGTTGCCAGGCTGGAGTGCAGTGGCACAATCTCAGCTCACTGCAACCTCCATCTCCCGGGTTCAAGTGATTCTCCTGCCTCAGCTTCTCAGGTAGCTGACATTACAGGTGCATGCCACCATGCCCAGCTAATTTTTGTATTTTTAGTAGAGACGGGGTTTCACCATGTTAGCTAGGATGGACTCAATCTCCTGACCTCGAGATCTGCCCACCTCAGCCTCCCAAAGTGCTGGGATTACAGGTGTGAGCCACCGCGCCCAGCCTTATTTCTTTTTAAATAGTATCTTACCTATACATTATATGTTATGTTTTTCAAAGGCACCTTGTATTAATCTGTTCTCAAACTGCTATGAAGAAATACCCAAGACTGAGTAATTTATTAATATGAAGGAAAGAGGTTTAATTGACTCGTAGATCTGCATTACTGGGGAGGCCTCAGGAAACTTATAGTCATGGCAGAAGGCAAAGGAGAAGCAGACACCATTTTCATAGGGTGGCAGGATGGAATGAGTGCCGAGCAAAGGGGAATCCCCTTATAAAACCATATAAAAAGAACTCACTATCATGAGAACAGCATGGCGGGACCCACCCCCATGATTCAATTATCTCCACCTGTTCCACCCTCAACACGTGGGGGTTATGGGGATTACAATTCAAGATGAGATTTGGGTGGGGACACAGAGACTGACCATATCACTCCCATATATATTACATCATGCACGTCTCATCACACCTCACTGGCAAGTTCAAGGAAACCTGTTTCTCCAAGTATTCTGCTCAGTAGGGAGGGAGATCAGTTATGGGCACAATCTTCTATACACCAGCCATTCCTGTTCTTTCAGAGAGTTAACTATTTGCCCTTCAGCCTTAATTTAAAAGTTTTGAATTCATTAACAATGCTATTTTCAAAATGAGGTTTGGTACAAGATGCTTAATAACTAAAACCTAGATTCCATGCTGGGATTTCAGAGGACCAAGCTCAGACCCCGGAAGGCAGTAATTTGAACTCAGACAGAAGAATAATACTGACACTACAGTCTTGGGTAACACTTTATGGTTTACAAAACACATCTTTATGCATCGTTTCACTGCAACTGGCAACACCCTTGTAGAGGATGTGGGTCTACCTTTAACTAATGAGAACTGTCAGTTGCTGTGCTCCCGTCCCACCTTGGAGGTGGCAGCATTTGTGTCACCCAGACTGGGGCCTCTGGCCATGGACTGTACATTATGCAGCACTAATGATGCAATTAATCCCCTACATTAGCTGACACATCATTCCTTAAAGTAAAAATTTCCAAGTTGAAACCTTAAAAAAAAAATAGTTGAAAAGGCAAAGCTAAGAACCAGCTAAAAAAGACTTGTACAAGGAGTCTTAATTCATTCTCAGCTTCTGCCTGTTATATTGACAAATACACTACTTTAATCTCTCCCTACCAGGCCTTGCACACAGTGGTCAAGAGGCCACTTTATTAGAGTTTCTTTTTTTCATCCACTTGTTGGAAGAAAGGTTATGGGTACAAATACCTCACAGCCAGTATTAAAAGGACATACTGGCAGGAAAAAAAATTATATAGTCAGTCTTGCTAAATTAGTTTACCTAAAATTGTATGTGTGAGTGATTTTAATCAAAATCTAATTTCCCCTCTTTTTAGAGTAACTGAAATGAGATTTTTCTAATTTACTTTTTGCGGTTCAAGTTTCTCATAATTCTTCTATGGTAGTGACAGCACCGTGAACGCGTCTGCTGCTACAAAGCATTAAAAAAAAATTAGATTTTCAAATTGACGTGCTAAATTAAAAATGTTTAATGTTTCTCATCAAAAGGCACAGGAGTATGCAAGGGGCCTCCAGTACAGTTTAAAGCACAATATTTTTTTTCATCTGTTTCTTTAATTCATGACCCAGGGCCACTGTACTGTGAAAATTAACAAGCTATAAGTAAAGGAGTCCTTGTAAGCAGTGTCCTCTGAGAAGCTTCCTTTTAATTTCCTCCAGTCCCTTGACATGGTGACCTTAAGGATGTCATACTAAAAAAGGATGTGAATGCCTTGGGTTTGTTTTTTGTTTATTTGCTTGTTGTTGGGTATGTGGGGTGTGTGTGTGTGTGTGTGTGTGTGTGTGTGTGTGTGTGTGTGTGCATGTGTGTGTGTTTCTTTCTGCCCCTGTTGGAGTTTGCCAGATGTTATTAGGGTTTGTGAGCCTGTGAGTGATTGTAACTCCCAGGCTTGACTAGCTAATTCCAATAATTTAGAAAATCATATTGCTTCTGTAAATTGGCTCCAGTTGTTATATTAAAATCCAAGCTTCTACCCTGACTAGATGCCTGCTGCCTAGCTCAAGGCAAGCTGGACATATCCCAAGAGCGACATATCCAGACTTTGGAAGATGACTCAGCAGGTGAAGAAGGCTTGGAAGGGGATTTGCAGCCTTGTACTCAGCTTTTACGTGCATTAGATTCCCCCAAGTAGCATGTGAGTGTTTAGAACCATCTCTTGCTGAAATTGAATTTTATTTCTGAGATACTGGTAAATATAAGATCCAGTTCTCAGATACCACAGCATTTTCTGCTTTTATGAAATAGGGTATAAGCTTCCATTAGAATTGAGGCAGCTACTCCTATATGGTCCCTCTCTCCACCAGTCCTGGCCATTGTGTGGTTAAAGAAAATGGGTCTCTAGAAAGAAAAACAAACTTGCCTAGGGCCACACAGTAATTCCCAGCAGAGCCAGGCCAAGAACCTACATAATCTGGTACCCATTTCAATGATATATTAAATCCATGGATTTAACCCATCCCAGTGAAGTGTCTCTTGCTGCCTGGTTTGGCTCATAGCAAAACCATCAGCTCCCATCCCACAAGCAAGCATGAAAAAACATGTTACCATTTAATGCTAAGTAATATCAGCCATACATATTGATAAGAAACAGGTAAAGAAGAGAGAAGGCAGAGACCTTCCACCTCTCAATGGCCAAAGCCTTTGACACATTTTTCTAAAGTCACTGAGATTTTAGAGCAGCTCTAGTTTGTTTTTCTCTCCTTTCTCTGCCATCCACACTTCATTCATTAAACCATATCACTTTCTTATTATTTTTTGCCAGCTCATATCTCTCCCTTAGATCAAAGTGATCCTTAATGGACTCTCCGATCACCAAAGCCCTGCTATCTGGAAGTTCCAATAAAGCATGTGTTGGAAACAGTCTCCAATGCAACAATATTGATAGACTGGACCTTTAAGAGGTGATTAGACCATGAGGGCTTTGACCTCATTGATAGATTAATGTCATTGCTGCAGGAATAAGTTCTTTATTGCAAGAGTAAGTTTGTTATAAAAGCAAGTTTAGTCCTTTCATGTTTTCATGCCCTCTCTTTGCCCTTCCATCATGGGATGACACAGCAAGAAGGCCCTCACCAGATGCAGCTTTTGGTCTTGGACCTCCCACCCTCTGGAACCTTGACCAATAAGTTTCTGTTTTATTATAAATTACCCACTCTCAAGTATTCTGTTACAGCAGTGGAAAACAGACTAAGACATTACCCAAGACATTAGACTTCTAAATAAATAATAAGATCTTGATCTATCCACAGAGTACACATCTCTAGAAAGCACCTACATAAAAATTCTAATGGTGGGAATTTTGGTTGCTGTGGGTTAAGGGAAAGAACTATTGGAAGTCATCTTAGCCTTGAGGTATCTTGGGTCACACCACACAAAGAGAAAGTCTGGCTTTGCTTCTCCATCACCAGATAAAGCAAGCTTTTGTGCTATTACTTTCCAACACTATTAGAAGCAGTGAAGTAATATGGAAAGGTCAGCAAAGATTCCGTCTTGATGGAGGATGGTAGAAAGATCCTAGTTCATTGTTTTTTCTGCCTTCACATGTTCTATCAGTTCATGCTGATGACCTAGGCCAAAATCCTCACCCACCCCAACCTACCCCCAAAAATTCAGTTTAATTTTTGTTTTGAAAAAAATTCCATATTCTTTCTCCCTATTCACTTGATCTGGGATTTTCAATATGTCATTAGGCTGCTTTGTGGTTTCAAATAATTTTGTGTATTATTTGTTTTATGGAAGCTGCAATTAAGCCAAGTAATAATGTATTGAGGTCATCTTCTCCCTCGGCATAGTGTAAGCATAATGAAAAAGGTGACCACACCAGTGCTGTGAAGGTGATACTTTCTGCATAGTTCTGTGGGTATTAAAGCCTGAGGACAAAAAAAAAAAAATCCATTCTCCTAGAAATTAGAGATACAATTATGATGAAATTAGCCTCCTCTACCAAGTTGCAAACAAGTTTCCTGAGACTGGGGCTGTATCTTATTCATCTTTGTACAACCCCTATAGCTTATTCATGGTAGGTATTCAACAGTTACTGACTTAATAAAGAATTTAAAGACTTTGATGGTAACCCTGGTTGTCAGTGACCATCAGTTATCATTTCCTAAACTGCAATGCTTTACCCCATAGGAACTGGTATTTCCTGAACTGTACTTAGGAGCCTTGGAGTTGGCAGGTCCTATGGGGCAGTAAGACAAGAAGGGGTCTAAGGTTCTACTAGGTACTAGGACATGTAGGACAAAGGGTAAGAGGGTGGGAGCAGGAGAGATAGCCAATGGCACACTGAGTCAAAGAGCTTGAACCTCAAAGAATCTCTTTTATTTTTCAGCATCAACTTGTACCTCAAGCTAGAACAAAATGAGGAAGCAAAACTTCTGAAACAATGGCGTAACTATGAAGACAAAGCTTGCAAAGACTTCGTGGTTTCAAGGCTTAGTAATGAATGCTTACATGAAAGAAGTGTGTATCCAGAGCTATGTTGTAATCCCAACTCATCATCATTCAAAACATCCTAAACATCACTTATCTTGAAGTTTTAATAATAAGAAAATGTAAGTTTTACCTTTTAACCAACAAATTTTACATAGAATGAATGAGTCAGAGTTCTGCAGAGAAACAGACTAACAGGATATAGATATATGTTATATATAAAGGGAGATTTATTATAGGAACTAGTTCACACAGCTATGGAGGCTGAAAAATTCCATTATCTGCCACCTGCAAGATGGAGAAATAAGAAAGCCAATGGTGAAATTCAATGCAAGTCCCAAAGCCTGAGAACCAGGAATGCTGATGTCCAAGGGCAGAAGAAGACAGATGCCCAGCTCAAACAGATAGAGTAAACTCGCCCTTCCTCTGCCTTTTTGTTCTATTCAGGCCCTTTAACAGGTTAGATGATGCCCACCCACATTGCTGAGGGCCATTTTCTTTACTCAGTCTACCAATTCAAATGCTCATCTTTTCCAGAAACACCCTCACAGATACACCCAGAAATAATGTTTTCACTGCCGTCTGGCCATCCCCTAGCCTGGTCAAGTTGACACATAAAATTAACCATCTTATAGGGCATCGTGTAAATAAAAGTCTGGCAACGAAGGTACTCACAAAACCATTTAAGGCAACAAACTCTTTTTAAGCACTTTAAAAGCTCACACTGATGTATAAACAATAAAAGTTAATTACATATCATTCTGATATGTTCACAAAAAGATCTATATTTGGCAAAATATCCTGGCAACGTTTTGTTAGCCTAGCATATTTACTGCACCCATTTGAAAGTAATAAAGATGGCATTTCTGAAAAAGTATCCCATAATTCAAACTATTCACTGCCCCCTCTGTAAGCACAAACCACAGAGATTTCACTGTAAATCTTGAGAAAACGCACTGCCTTATAAAATGCTACCAATTCGCACTTTAAGTTGCTTAAGTACAGAGTCAAGAAGCATTAACTAGTCACAGAGTCTTAGACTACTGGAATTAAATAGGTAAATTCTAAGATTACTTGGCCTCACCACCACATTATACTGATAAAGCAGTCTTGAGAAAGTTAAAACTTTTGCCCAAAGTAAAGCAATAATATGTAGAATTAGGACTTTAACCTTTGTGCCTCCTACCTCCCAAGCTATACTAATTCAAAAGATTGCAGATCTAGCACCTTATGTTGCTATCTTTTATTCTGTAACAAATAATTTTGGAATTACAGAGGAAGCTGCTGTGGAACAGAGACTCCAACTGACTGCAGGATTCTAACTGCACAATGATTTTGTATGCTCCTGTTCTCTTCTTCCATATAACAGCAAACATAGTGTATTTCTCCTTTTCTAAGGTATAGCATGTTCTTCTAGACTCTCCATGGGCCTGTTTTGTGGATGGGTCTAATCACACAGAGGAAACTTCTTTCCTTACTTGATAGTTACATGGGGAGATAATGTATTTTTTTCCAGCTTAGCCCCAAAGCAATCAGTTGACAAGTCCAGAGAAGACCCCTGTGGTAAAGTAAAATATAAAGACTCTCTGGGTAGCAGGTGTTTCCCTTTTAATGACAGCTTAACTGGTGAAGTGTTGAGCAGAACACTGCTGTTTATCCCTGCTGTTTGCATTGGGCTGGAAGCCAGCCCAAACCTGCCTTGGTGACATTTCAGGTCAGATTATTGTATCAGGAAATTCCCACATAGCCAGTGGACAGTGGAGGGCTGCAGCCTGCACACGTATAACTAGATCCAGAAAAGGAGAAATTCAAGGAAAGATGGGCACCCTAGGTCTGTGGGGCATAATGAAGGCTTTAAGGGGTCAGAAGAGAACAAAGTACAGGCTTTGCCTGAAATCTACATGTCTCTGGTTTAAGAAGAAAATTACATAGTAGATGATGACATGAATGGAGAACAAATGAAATCGTGTTTAAGGCTGCAGTGACTCATCTTCTCATTCTTTCACACAGTAGATTTATGTCATTAAGCTCCTCGAATGGTAAAGTACCCACTAGTCCATGGTTGAGTATTTGAAAACTAATATGCTTGAAACTTCATTAAATGTATAATCTGGCAGAGTGGGAAAAATGTATACAAATAACTTTTAAGTATAGTAAAATTGACCTAAAAACAAAGTTCTTTCCTAATTTGAAGGCTGCAGAGGATACTTTTCTGATCAAGGGTAATAGAAAAGACTTAAAGAAAACATGAATTTGCATAAGGAGTAGGACTTCCATCAATTAGGAGAAATAAAATAACTTCATAAGTTTAGCAATCAGTATGAATTGAAGTTTGGGAAAAGGGATGCGGACATGTTAGGGAATACTAGGAAAAAAGAAGGACCCCTATTTTAAATGGAACGAGGCTCTTTGTAGGAAAATAATAAAAATTAAGCCTGAAAGTACAAACTTGGCTAATATGGTTGAAGTGCCTCATAAATGTGAATGAGAAATGTTTTCTTTCATTGAGAGATATTGAATGTTTTTGATACCAAAACACCAGCCATTTGGTCTAGGTCCCATTGCTCACTGCACAGAAACCCCATCACAGAGACAACAAGTATTGCCAAAGAAGAAGGCTTTATTCAAGTGCTTCAGCCAAAAAGATGGGAGATCAATCTCAAACGCATCTCTCAAACCATCTAAAATTGGGGGTTTACATAGCAGAGAAGGAATGTAGTATGTGTGAGAAAGCAGGGATTAGGGATTAGGATGGTAAGAAAGAGGAGCTGGTCAACAGAAAGCAGGCAGTCAGTTGGTAAAACAGGAATTAGGGAGAGGTAAGGAAGATGAGTTTCACTTCCTTAATACCATCTGGGAGGCCTGAGAGTCAGTTTCCTAAGAGGGAACTCAGATAAGACAAATGTAAATTTCAAGCTTTAAGACCAGGAGGATCAATTTTTATTTGTCTCAAAAACTGTCATCTATGGGCTGGTTTCATTTTGACCAAGGGAGTGAGGGCATTGTTTCAGTCTCCACCCAAGGCAGGCAGAGAATAGAAGGAATAAGACAGGATGGAAGGGAATGGTAAATGAGGAAAGCAGGGGAAAAGGAGGTCAAATGGGGCTGGATTCCTGATGAAAAAAGAAGAAAAACATAGAAGGGGAGAGTGGTAGGAAGGGTAGGAATGAAGTAGGGCTAACTTGGGGCAACAGGAAGAGAAGCATAGATACATGGCAGCTCAGAAAAAGGTCTAAAGGAAATATTCGACCAAAGAAAGAAACAGCACACAAAACCAAAGCTCTGGGCTCTCTGTCTCAGACTGTTCAGGCCGCTATAACAAAATGCCACAGACTGGGTGGTTTATAAACAACAGAAATTTATTTCCCACAATTCTAAAGACTGGGAAGTTCAAGATCAAATCACCAACAGATTCAGTGTCTGGTGAGGACCTGCTTCCTATTCATAGATATCCATCTTTTGGCAGTTTCCTCACATGGTGGAAGAGGCAAGGGATCTTTCTAGGACCTATTTTATAGGGCACCAATCACCCCCCAAAGGCCCCACCTCCTAATACCATCATCTTAAGGGTTAGGATTTTAACACAGACACTTTGATTCAGTCCATTGCAAGTGGTGTTGAGGCAGGATGTGGTTGGGACCCAAAATTGCAAACAGAAAGAGCCCAGAGAAGTTCCCTGAGACAACAGCAAGAAAAAAGAATGATCTACTGCTCAAGAACCTTGCAGTACAACACACACCAGTTTCAGTGTCTAATGATATATGTCACTAGTTGGTTGGACATATTGAAAATAAGCAGCCAAATGAAAGAAAGGGTTTGGTTTACAAAATGCTTTTCATCCAATTTGTCAACTCATTGACATGACATGGGGTGCAGGAAAAATGGGAACAGAATTAAAATATGGAATGGCTGGACGATGCTGATTGCGTTCATTTAAAACACAATTTTAAATGCAGATTTTTTAAAAAATAAAAGCTGGTTTGTTAGAAGAAAATGGCAGGTTTGATGTGAGTCATTGAGTTTGAGAAGCTAGCAAAATGTCCAGACAGTGACATTTAGACAATTGAAATTCATGGATTCAGCTCAGAAGACCAAATGTGTTGTACAAAGGACCTAGACTTTTAAAATATTCACACATTGGTTAGAGTTGAAACTAGGGGTTGTGTAGAAAGACAAAAATTAATAATAATCATACAAATTCAAAAATACATGTTCTAAGTCAGTACATGGGAACCACAGTGAGGTGACCATCAAGACCTCATAAATGAGTTTCTCCTTAGAGATTTTATATATATATACACACACACACACATACATACATATATATATACATATATATACACATACATACATATATATACATACATACATATATATACATATATATATATATCTCAACATAAAATGGATCCAAAAAAAGACAAGAAGAGATACTTCAAAATTTTAAAAAGACAAAATGATTCCTGAAATTAGCTCTATCCCATACTCATAGAACAGTCTTGGCACACGATAGATGATCAACAAATATTGGGTTATTGAAGATGAATATGAATTGATTGTAATTAGAAGATCCATGTCTAAGAAACAAAGACATCAGTGAGAAGTTGGGTTGATCAGAGCTAGAGCAGCGGAAAGGCAGACACTTCATCATTCTCTGTGGCCCCTAGGCAGACTAAATCATACTGTGGGAAGGAACAAATAAGGATATTTCAGGCACAAACTTCCAGGACTTAGTTTTATGATTGAGTGTTTAAAGGCTTCAGGCTATTAAAATCAGAGAACTCTCCCAGTTATGTTTCTAGGCATACCTAGGAACCTTCTGATTATAATTTGGCTCCCATGCAGTTTTTCTACAGGAAGATGTGCTGTCAAATATAAATGAATATTTGTTCCCTTTGGTCATTATATTTCTCGCAATAAATTAATAAATTTCCATTTTGTTTAACATATCATTGTCTTGTGAACTTTATCTCTTATGTCCTCCAGCATGACTGAGTTCAGTCATTTCTTGGATAGCAAAAGGATTACATTTCTAGGTTTGCAGGGCTGAGAGCAAGACTCTGAACCGCAGGGAACCCAACAAGTTACAGTATTCTGAAAGATCTCTCAGGAGCCGGCCTACTGACATCCTTTAATTAGCTGACAGGAATAGTTCTAGATGGAGCCACACTGTACATGTTTGGCAAATTAATTTAAAACTCAATAAATTTTAGCCAACTTTCCAAGAGTAGAAATGATGAACTTTCAAGTTTTCACTGGAATTATAGCAAGCCTTTCTTTCCCGTATTGACAGAAAGAGAGGTATAGTATAGTATATTAAGAACATATATTCTGGCCTTAGGTTGTCTGGGTACCAATTCAGCTCTCCACTTACAGACTGTGTGAATTTGAGAGAGGAGCCTGATGTCCATATCAATTTTTTCATTAATAAAATTGAGATAGTAATACTATTTATCTCACAGAGTTAAATGAATTAATATTTGTAAATATTTAAAATAGAAGCTGCTACATTTAGAAAAATGACAATGCCAAATGTTGTCAAGGAGACAGAGCAACTGAAACTCTCATATATTACTGGCAAGAATGCAAAATGTTACAGCGCCTTTGGAAAACACTTTGGCAGTTTCTTATAAAGTTAAAGACATACTAACAATATGATCCAGCAATTTCACTCCTAGGTATTTACCCAAGGAGAAATGAAAACAATGTTCACATAAGAACCCGTATGCAAATATTCAAGCTACTTTATGCATTATTACAAAACACTGAACATAACCCAAATGTCCTTCAGCTGATGATGGATAAACAAACTGTGCTATATCCATATAATTGAATACTGTTCAGCAATAAAAAGGAACAAGCTCTTGATACACTTAACGTGAATAAATTTCAAGTGCATTATGCTAAATAAAAGAAGCTAGACTCTGAAGGTTACATACTATATAACTGCAATTATATAACATTCTGGAAAAAGTAAAACAAGAGGAGAAAAGAGATCAGTGGTTTCCCAGGGCTAGGATAACAGGTGTTTACTACAAAAGGACTTAAAGGAATTGGGAGGGTGGAGGGATGAAACTGTTCTGTGTATTGACTGTAGTGATGCCATACTATTATATGTATTTAACAAAATTCATAGACCTATACACCAAAAATGCTACATTTTACCACAATAAAAAATGATATAAAGGAGGAAAGGGAGGGGAATAAATTAAGGAAGGGAGGGAAAAGAGAAAGGAAGAAGGAAAGGGAGAATGGGCAGGAAAAATGGCAGAGAAACACTGTCTGGAACATAGTAAGTGCTATAGAAATGTCCGTTAAATAAAATTCTTCTAATGTGGCATGTTTTACATAATCATAAGACTCTTTTGTCTAAAAAATATTGGTGAAATTATTTCCTAACTCCTTATAGGAATAATACCTGGAGTAGATAAGGAATTTATGTTCCTTATGGGAAAACAATAGAAGATACAGATGAGTAAAACAATCACGCATAATTCCACCATCTAAACATGACCACAACTGAAAATTAATTCACAGCCTGCCAGCTTTTTACTACAGGTGAATAAACCACTTTTTAACTTAGAAAATTGTTTTATACCATACATTTTGTTTTGGAACTACTTTCTACTTAGTAATATGTTCTAAAAATACATAGATCTGCATCATCACTTTTGAGGACTGCTCATTTATGCTACCAAGACTGTTGCTGAACATTTCATTTGGCTCCATTTCTTCGGTAGTATAAACCAGACTGTGTTAAATATTCTTGGTATACATATCTTTGTGCATACAACATTATTTCTTTATGGTAAATTTCTAGAATGGGAATTGCAGTATTGAAAAATATACATTATATAATTTTTCATTCATAATGCCAAATTACTCCCCAGAAGATTATATAATTTACTTTCAGCAGCTGTGAATGACATTTGGGGCTGTATTTCAGTGGGTCTTTTCCTTCAAAATCTGACAATCCTTTTTTAATATTACTTTGCATACTATAAATGTTGGGTTTTTTAATGAAATGATTATTAAATGAAACTTGAACACTAGGAAAATGTACTGAATTTTTATCGGGCATCAAATGATATTAAACATGATTAAGGTTCTTTCCTATCTTGCAAGATGGCAGGTGAAAAAGCGGAGAAGCCGATACTAAAGAGAAGAAACCCGAAGCTAAGAAGGCTGATGCTGGTGGCAAGGTGAAAAAGCACAACCTCAAGGCTAAGATGCCCAAGAAGGGGAAGCCCCATTGCAGCCACAATCCTGTCCCTGTCAGAGGAATTGGCAGGTATTCTCGATCTGCTATGTATTCCAGAAAGGCCATGTACAAGAGGAAGTACTCAGCCACTAAATCCAAGGTTGAAAAGAAAAAGAAGGAGAAGGTTCTTGCAACTGTTACAAAACCAGTTGGTAGTGACAAGAACGGTGGTACCCGGGTGGTTAAACTTCACAAAATGCCCAGATAATATTCTGCTGAAGATGCGCCTGGAAAGCTGTTGAGCCACTGCACAAAACCCTTCAATCAGCACGTGAGAAAACTGTGAGCCAGAATCACCCCCAGGACCATTCTGATCATCCTCACTGGACACCACAGGGGCAAGAGGGTGGTTTTCCTGAAGCAGCTGGCTAGTGGCTTGTTACTTGTGACTGGACCTCTGGTCCTCAGTCGAATTCCTCTATGAAGAACACACCGGAAACTTGTCATTGCCACCTCAACCAAAATTGATATCAGCAATGTAAAAATCCCAAAACATCCTACTGATGCTTACTTCAGGAAGAAGCAGCTGCGGAAGCCCAGACACCAGGAAGGTGAGATCTTCGACACAGAAAAAGAGAAATATGAGAATACAGACAGTGCAAGATTGATGAGAAAGCTGTGGACTCACAGATTTTACCAAAAATCAAAGCTATTCCTCATGTGTTTGCCCTGACAAATGGAATTTATCCTCACAAATTGGTGTTCTAAATGTCTTAAGAAGAACTTAATTAAATAACTGATTTAAAAAAAAACATGATTAGGAAAATAAATCAGTTGAGCATCTAAAATAACCTTTGGATTATTTGGGGGTGTCACCTACACTATTGTTGGCTACTTTTACTAGGCAGTTTGAGGAGAAGTCATTTCATTTTGTATAAAGTGACTTTATTTTGTATGTAGGGACATTCCTTAGAAAAATGATGATGTTCTAAATGTCTCTAGAACATGTAATCATGATACTTTGAAATTTTGTCTTATTGTTTAGCATATTTACAAATGGTCTTGAAGTGCACTTGCCAGAGTGGGCTCTCTCTTTGGAGCAGGACCCTAAATCAATGACCTTCTATTTTTCTGTTAGATAGACAAGTGGATATTGTGTGCATTTTCTTCATCCAGTTAAATCAAATGTTTTCAGAATCCAATAAGCACCAACCTAGCCTGCTACAATTTCCCTGAATCCACAAACAAAAATCTGAATTTCATTCTGCCCAAAGATTTATACTTTGTAAAACATACATATTTCATCCCCATACTGCAATCCCTCACAAAATCATACTATGGTTTTGGAAACCACCTCTAGGTTTATTTCAAGTAAATCTTGGTCAAGAGAAGAGAAAGTCAATTGCAACCTCAACACCCAGAACTAGGAAGCAAAAGTGAATGTGTATTTAGCTCAGACAGGATAACTGGGTCAATTTGGGGACCTCAGCATTCTTAAAAACCGAAGAACTCTAGTAACATATATATTCCCAGATAACTGCTAGCCTACGTGTGTTTCTAAGAATATATTGCTTTGAATTATTTTCCTTAATAATCTAAACTTTCCAAATAATTATATTCTAATTCATCTTATATGAATATTATTGTGGATTTATTTTGTTAATTGCCCCAATGAGACAGAAAGAGTAACAACCTGATAAAAATGTTTGTGCAACATATTCACTAATTACTTGACATATCATGATTGCTTTTAAATTAATATATATTAACATCTAATTACATACTGGGTATTGCGTTAGGCTGTAGGGAAAATTGATGCTCATGCAATAAGTCTTCATGGTCATGGAATGTGCAGTGCAGAACCTTTGTGACAGACAGGGAGCTTCATGCTCAGATATAAGCGACTGGACTGAAAGGCGGTTGAGTTCCTGTCATCCTCGGCTGGTTGCTAGGCCCTGTCGTGTGTTGATTATTGAAACATTTTCATTCCACGTGCTCTGGGAAACTGACCTGAGCTCAAATATTTCAGTTGTTTGGAAAGCAGAGGTGCTGGTAGGAGCTCAGCTGAGCAGGGAGAGAGAGCTGAGCCTCCAGGTGTTAGAGGAGCCGATTAAAGCAACAAGCCAAAAGTGAAAGGATTAAACCTTCAATCACTTACTGCAATCGCTTATAAGAGGCTAAAACCTGAGAAACCTGTACCAACTCCCTTTATTCCATCTTCCCCCAGAGAACAGCACACTGACAGTGGGTCAGATGAATCGACACACACTGCGGGGGTGTCTCACTGTTGAGGGAGCCCCAAACAGCTGCATGGACTCTGAGGTGGGGGGAGGAGGGCAAAGAGGGAGGGCTAGGAGCGGACATGGACTGGGTCTTCAAGACTTCCCCTTCCTCCGTGCACAGGGAGGCCTCAGCAGAGGAGCATGAAGAAGCCCCCTGCCTAAGGCCTCAAATTTTGTTTTTAAGCTAGCTTGGTGTGGTGGCATGCACCTGCGGTCCCAGCGATTCTGAAGGCTGAGGCGAGAGGATCACTTAAGCCCAGGAGTTTGAAGCTGCGGTGAGCCGTGATGACAACACTACAATCCAGCCTGGGAAACCTCAGGAATGAAGGTGCCAGCGCCAGGAATGCAAATAGGGAAGAGCATGACCTGCCAGAGGGGCCTGAGGGCTTGAGTGCAGCTCCCTGCAGACATTAGAATACACTGGTTGTGCACTGAGTCTGGTGTGGGGAGAGCAGCTTCTCCTAAGAGCCTGCCAGGGAAAACCTTTGTAATTGCTGACAGTCAAGCTTCAAAAAAGAAAATCACCATTGGTTTTTAACCAAGAGCCAAGTTCCTCAGGTGTATGATTGAAATCTTAATCATAGACATCTATGTCTAATAATGAGAACCAGTGATTTATCCTAATTGTTCAACTCTCTCAGGAGATTTGGGTGGGGGAAGTGGGAAAACTTCTGAGGGCTTCATCACCTGGGAGAATTCCTACAAATCCCAACACTAGAATCTCTTTACGCCTTGAAAACTTGCCAGGATTCTTGTGCCTTCTACAAAGAGTTCTAAAGGAAGAGCAATACCTTAAACTGCTTTTTTAAATAACTCCATTGTAATCAGTCCAGAAATCTGAAAGTAATGCCCTTGGAATTGAAACTAGGATAAATAACTGAGGGGAGGGAAGAAAGAGAGAGAATTAAAATTAAATTAGCTGCCCGGACATGGTGGCTCATGCCTATAATCCCAGCACTTTGAGAGCCTGAGCCAAGGCAGGAGGATTGCCTGAGCCCGAGTCGGAGACCAGCCTGGACAGCATAGTGAGACTCTGTCCCTACCAAAAATAAATAAATTTTTGTTTTTAAGTTAGCTGGGTGTCGTGGCATGTACCTGTGGTCCCAGCTACCCTGGAGGCTGAGGCAAGAGGATCACTTGAGCCCAGGAGTTTGAGGCTGCAGTGAGCTGTGATGACACCACTGCAATCCAGCCTGGGCAACAGAGAGAGACCCTGTCTCAAAAAAATAAATAAATAAATACATTAGCCGTAATTTTCCTAAGGCCAAGCTTTGGGAGAAAAATTATTATTTCTTCATAATTACCTTTTCCAATAGTTCAAGATTTTTATCCCAGCCTGCTGTTTTATTTTCATTACAGTATTTTTTCTCCAAGAAATGTACTCACAGCATGATTTCTTAAGACTCATGGTGTCTTCAAGCTCATATAACCTAAACCACTCATTTTTCAGGTGTTGTCTGGCATAACCCAACTCATACAGCCCAGTTATTGAGGGAAAGAGGAAGCCCCTCATTCTCCCGAACCCCCATCTGGGGCTCTTCTGACAGCACACAGGAGCTCTTCTCCACTGTTTCCTTTTTCAAATCTGATGTGACTTAAAGTCTTTGAGGAGCTAAGCTTTAACTTCTTCAAAGAGTGTCATCTATGTCTAATAACAGAATCAGGTTTTCTGTTACTATCAGAGAGATCACTTTGAATTCCTACATCAAATCTTCGGTGTCCTTCAAAAAGCAAGTTGTTAATAGTCATATTAGGATAAAAGAAACATTCTCAGGGAAGGAGAGGGTTCAAAAACCTGCACTAAAAATGCTTACTCCATAGATCAGTAATCCTGGGGTCTAATAATTAATATAGCCTACAAATGCTTAAATTTAACAAAGGAAATATCAACAGGTACATTCATTCTAGTTTTTATTGTATTGTGAAATTCAACAATAACTACTTGGAAATAATCTAAAAATGTGTAAATCATGGCACTTGCCTCCAGGAATTTATAAGCCAATAGAGAAAATGCATATAAAAATATATGTAGTACAAGAGCAGAGTTTCCAAGAAGCAAAAGGAGTCTCTTGACTAAGAAAATGGAGCGCTTAAATAATGAGTGAGGTCTGGACAGGAGACATGTTGATGGATGGGCCACTTCAGATAAGGGGAAGAAAGAATCTGGTAGCAGGAAATTAAAGGGAATGTTAAACAAAAGATGAGTATCCTTGATAACTAAGTGTAGGATACACAAAAGTGCACAGTGGAAGGAAAGACTCCAGCTAATATTGAAGACACTTTCTAGAGGGTATTAAAGGCCAAGCTTTGGTGTTCTTTCCTTTTTACCTGATGTGGTGGTCACTGCAGGCTACAGGAAGGCTACAATACATTCATGGGACCACTCATTCCATTTACAAAGCCTTGCCTCAGTGGGGTTTGCATCCTGTTTGTAGTTTCGTTGCTTTATCGATTAGCTAGCAATTACCTCAGTGTGTTTGGGTAGACAGGAATCAGAGAGTTGGCATCCTATTTTTCTGGAGTCATTAAAAGTTTATTCTGACTGGGCACTGTGGCTCACACCTACAATCCCAGCACTTTGGGAGGCTGAGGCAGGTGGATTGCTTGAGCCCAGGAGTTCGAGACCCTATCTCTATTTTTAAAAAATGATCCTTTCTATGGTTTCCAATTATAAATGTTCAGCAGCTTAGCTACCAGGGAAGTTGGCCATCTTTACCTGGCAGAAAAACTTTCAGAGTCAATAGACTGACTTTCATTATTTAATTGAGCTTCATTTTTATAACATTCCAAATAGTATTGTGGCTGTTACTTTCACCACTATAAACAATGAGAATACAATGTTTCAAGTCCAGGATATTTAGAATCTCAGCCTAGAGTATCAGAAGGGGCTGTTCTCTGCCTGAGGACCTCTATGACTCTATTGAAAAGACAAGCTTTCCTGGATATTTCCTGGATCCCATCCTGCTTGGGATTTATCTCTTCTTCAGGGAGCTTACAGTCAGAGAATAATCACTTTCATGAGTCGTGAAGGTCTGGTAAATACTTCAGTGTCTTTTCACCAGTTCTTTGCCATGTTCATGAAATCCATGAAATGACTCTGCTAAGCTATTGGCACCACACATTCTCTCTGTAAGGAACCATAGGAAATTCACCCACATCTCATTCTCCCAGTATCAATCCCAACTCTACTTGAACATGGGCAGAAACTTTTGTCCTTCTTTAGATTTGGTCTTAGACTGTAAACCCCTGTGCTGGCCAGAGGATGATATAAGGTCTTCACCCATTTCATGGTAATTCTAGTCATTTTCCTCCTCTCCAGTGGAGTGTTCTTACCTCTCCAGTATAGTGTGCTATTAATGGAGCTAATATATCTTTTTAAAAATGAAAACAAAAACAAAAAACTTTTCTGAGGGGAGCTAAGCAAATGATAGTTTACACACTTGCTAAAGAAGGCATTGACCAACTCAAATTCAACTAGCATAAAACTATTTAAGCTATATCTCCACAGGAAAAGCAGCATTTTCTACTATGTTCTAATTTGTTTTTAATCAAAGTACATTCCTCCTCATGAATATCTGCTTTCATCTGCTTAGTTATATATGATTTAACTTAAATGTTGTCTATTTCAGAATAGCAGGTAGAATGCTTAAATTCTTCCTGCACCAACTGCATTACATATTAAATATCTCTTATATCAATTAGTACAGTCACAAATACGGAGCAGATTAGAAACAAACGGTTACATTATTTCTGGATCCTAATCTAGAGGGAAGATCATATATTGATTCCTCTCTAAACTGATGCTAGAATAATCTTGCTACTTATTTTCAACTCCAGGGTGCAAAGTAATAGCAGTTCTCTTTATGGTTATGTGATGTGAACCATTGACAAAATTACACTGTAATTACTATATAGAGTCAAGGTAATTACATAACAATTGTCCTATAATTATTAGATTTTGTATCTGATTTATAAACTGCCATATGAATTATGTGGTAATTAATACTGGGTCTTCCTGGTATAATTTAGTTATTATTCATTAGTTCATTAGGAAATTCTGCATTCACACAGATCAGTGTGTTTAAGCCATAACAATCAGTGTTTAAATCTCGAAGGCTTAGGAGTCTGACTCATGCATTCAATAACTCAAAAACTAGTGTAAAGCTATTTATGGTTTGACAAAATTAACCAAAGTGATCAAACATGATTCTAATCCAAATTATAATATTTAGGAAACACATATATTTTTCAATGTTTAGGACGTGTGTGACACACACTTTATTTTTGCAAACTACTACCAGTTCCATGTCCGCTCCTACCAAGCTGATAAATATGGAGTGTTGCTTACTAAAAAGCCAGTAAGTAAAAGGAAATCTGACCAAGCGCTGCCCAAAATGTTTTCATACAGTTATTCTCAATCTTGGCCACGTATTGTAATCACCTGGAAACCTTTCAGTATTGACGTTTAGTACTCTGGAGCCTAACCCCAGAGTTTCTGATTTAATTGGTCTGGGGTGAAGCTGGGTCATTGGAGGTCTAAAAGTCTCCCAGGTGGCTACAATGTATATAGCCTGGCCCATTTTTATTTGCAACCCAGGTTGGGCACCACTGATTTTGAAGCATCATTAGAAATGAAACCTAAAGGTTGCTGGATGTTTGCAATTTCCAAAACTCTAAAGTTAATTTTTGCTCATATGTTTGGACAATAGAGTCAAGAATGCCAGTTTTCACACTCTTGGTAATGAAGCTTATGTGGCTTGCTCCACCTTGCTAAATGTGTTCTATCACCTACATTAACTTCATTATTCAATTTTTAAAATTTTATCAAAGAATACAGGAACATACTTGAAAAAGTCAAATAGTGCCATGAGGCTTATAATGGAAATCAATAGTTCCCTGCTTTACTTTGCCCCAGTGCAAGGTTATAATCCCTACAGATAATCATTATTAACTCTTCTATTTCTAAACAATATGCTTATACTGCTATGTCTTGATTTTACAATTTGATACCCTATCATTTGATTTTCTATCCACCCAACTCATCCCCCCGCTACACACACACTTCAAATCCCTCTCCCAGCTATCCAAAATACTTAAGCTACAAGTTGATTAAATCAATACTTAATGGTTACATAATTATGATGGTAAATATTTTTGACAACTGAAACTTGTATATAATACTGTTTGTAACTGTCTCAAGAAGGGGAATATTTGGTCAATATTCCATGTGCCTATCCATAAATTTTTCTGTTTTAAGCATGCTGCACATACTAATTTCACCCTCAAGACAAACCTATATGGTAGCACTATCATTATTTCCACTTTGCAAAAATAAAAATAAAAGTGAGTTAAATGTATCTGCCTGGTTAGTAAGTAATGAAACTGGGATGGAAAACCAGGTATTCAGGGTTCTTGAAGCTGAGCTCTTAACCATCACCCAAGACAGTAAAATGAGTGATAAGCAGTCAGCCAGTCTTTTGTGCCCCTGCCTGGAGCTGCTCCAGCCTGGAGCAGTTGCTTTCTCACAGTCTACACAGTTATCTACCTGGAACATCCCTAATCATAGGACTTCCCCTCATGCCCCTGTCCTTTGGGTCTCTTCTTTCCTGAACCTCATACTCTTTCTCATGCCTGATCCTTATTTATTAAAACACCACCATAGTAAATTCCCTACATAGGGAAAGGGAGGTAAAGTTTTGGGGGCATGAATATGTAAAATGTCTTTCCTTTGCCTGCGTAATTAATGTATTTGGCCAGTGTATTTTCTCTTGTGGCTGAAACAAATTACCACAGATGTAGTGGCTTAAAACCTACATTTATTGGACAGTTCTTGAGATCAGACTCTAAAACATATCTGCAAGGCTAAGTTCCTTCTGGACGATCCAGGGAGAATTCATTTCCTTGCCCACTTTTGAGAATGCTTTGAGAAAGCACCTACATTCTTTGGCTTATGACCCTTTCCTCCATCAACCTGTTTCTATTCCTCTTCTCCAGAGTTTGGAATTTTCTTTTGGAAACCATTCATCCTGTAAACAAAAGTTCCCTGAAAAGAAATTTGGAGGAAAGATATCATTCCAGTAAACAGTTTGCAAACAGGAGTTCTACACATTCTTTGTGTAAAACCAAAGTGAGTTCAAAGAGAGAACCAAGGGAAGACTCAGGTTTTATAGCAAAAGTTCCCACCCAGGTTCCTAATCAGGTCCATTTATGCAAATGAAGAATTCAAACTTGCTTAGGTCTGATTGGTCAATATAGCTGAGCCCTGGTTGGTTGGTACAGCCAAGCTCTGAAAGTCCTAAAGATAAAAAGTTTCTGGTTTTCAGGGAACTCAGAGTATGTGTGTGACCCCTAGTCAGCAAATGGCCACTTGGTTTCATTTTAAATTTAGGCCCAGTATTCATTTAGGATCAACCTTGAAGAATTGGCTCTTATAGATTCACATTTTCTCACAGTCCTCAGAATTTGGAAGACATTGATTTATTGTGTTTTTACCATCCTGGGCTGCCCTGGAGGAGCATAGGGCCAATACGTTTCCTTATTTTGTAAATGTGACCTGATTTTTCACCTCTCAATGTAACTTTCAGAAACTTCAAGCTACAATGAATGTCTGGGTGCAAGTCTTTTACATTAATTATAATGAATGCTTAGTGAGCCCTTAATATATGAAAATTCATGCTTTTAATTGCAATTAAAACAAAAATTGACAAGTGGGACCTAGTTAAACTAAAGAGCTTCTGCACAACAAAAGAAATTATCAACAGACAACCTACAGAATGGGAGAAAATATTTGCAAACTGTGCATCTGACAAAGGTCTAATGTCCAGAATCTATAAAGACATAAAACAATTGAACAAACAACCCCATCAATAAATTGAACAAATAACCCCATCAATAAATGGGCAAAAAACATGAACACTTCTCAAAAGAAGACATACAAGTAGCCAAAAAACATATGAAAAAATGCTCCACATCACTAAGCATCACAGAAATTCAAATCAAAACCATAAGATACCATCTCATGTGAGTCAGAATAGCTATTTTTAAAAAGTCAAAAAGCAACAGATGCTGGTGAGGCTGTGGAGGAAAGGGAACACTTATGCACTGTTGGTGGGCACGTAAATTAGTTCAGCCACCTGGAAAGCAGTTTTGAGATTTCTCGAAGAACTAAGAGTTGAACTACCATTCAACCCAGCAATCCCGTTACTGGGTATATACCCAAAGGACAATAAATTATTCTACCAAAAGGACATATGCACTTGTCTGTTCATTGCAGAGCTATTCACAATAGCAAAGACATGGAAACGACCCAGGTGCCCATCAACAGTGGACTGAATAAAGAAAATGTGAGAGAGATATACATGTATCTCTCTCTCTCTCTCTCTCTATATATATATAGTGTCCATATATATATATATGGAACACTACACAGCCATAAAAAAGAACAATATCATATCCTTTGCAACAACATGGATGAAGCTGGAGGCCATCATCCTAAGTGAATTAACGCAGAAACAGAAAACCAAATACCACATGTTCTCACTTATAAGTGGGAGCTAAACAGTGGGTATTCATGGACATAAAGATGGCAGCAATAGACACTGGACCTCCTAGAGAGGGGAAGGAGAGAGGGGAGCAAGGGTTGAAAAACTAACTCTTTGGTACCATGCTCAGTACCTGGATGAAGGGATCAATCATACCTCAAACCTCAGATTCATACAATATACCTAGGTATTAAACCTGCATATGTGTCTTCTGAATCTAAAATAAAAGTTGAAATTACTTAATATCAAAACCAAAAAAATGCAGCTTTTCCATTCTGAAAAGTTTTATTAAATTATTTCCTTGATGTCTCCTCCCATTGTCTCTTTTATTTCATTCTAACATTCTCAAATTAAGAGTCAGGGCTCTTAAATTGAGTCTCCCCTCCAGTTTTATACCTTTTTGTCATTTCATACTTTCTGGCAGATTTCTTCAACTTTAGCTTCCGACTTTTCACCTGATCTTTTTCTCATTTCTGCTGTATATTTTTGCATTCTGGGAGTTCTGCCTGGTTATCTCATGTTGCCTTTTGTTTATCTGTTGTTGTTGGCTTCTGTTGTTGGTTTTTATTATTCTTGCTTTTGATAAGGCTATCTTATTGTTTTATGGATACAATATCTGCTTTTGTATAATAAACATATGGATTATAGTTATTTTGTTGTTTTGTGTGTTTTGTTTTACTTTTAAATTTTCTATTGCTCTCTATATTGTTTTGTATTGTCGAATTTGCTTTTTTATATCATGATCCCAGAGGGCAGCTCAAGCTTCAGTCATTACCTCTGCATTGCAGCCTGTAAGATGAGGATGAAGAAGTAAAAGAACAAATCCTACGAACACGTCCCTTAAATCATATACACCTCTTCCATTTACATTCCATTGTTCAGAACTTAGTAACATCATGGCCCCTAGTTGTAAATAAGGCTAAGAAATACAATTTTTTTCTTGTTTTTTGTCTTTTGTTTTTTTTTTGAGACGGAGTCTCACTCTGTTGCCCACGCTGGAGTGCAATGACGCAATCTTGGCTCACTGCAACCTCCGCCTCCTGGATTCAAGCAATTCTCCTACCTCAGCCTCCTGAGTAGCTGGGATTACAGGCACATGCCACCACACCCAGCTAATTTTTGTATTTTTAGTAGAGACAACGTTTCACCCTGTTGGCCAAGCTAGTCTTGAACTCCCAACCTCAAGTGATCCACCCACCTCGGCCTCCCAAAGTGCTCAGGTTACAGGCATGAGCCACTGTGCTAGGCCACAAACTTTATTTTATAAGGCCATGTGCCCAGCTGAAAACTGGGGGTCTAGCTGTATCATAGATGCACCTGACAGCAATAACTTAAGAAATGGGAGTTGCCACATGGAGGTTACATGGAGGCAGGTGCTAGGTGAAAATGCTATATAAACTGCATGCTTTTTACAAGCAGCTGAAGTTCTCCTGTCCAGCCTGCTGCCACTGGAGTGTCCTTGTATGTAAGTTCCCCCAAGCAAAACACTACGCCTCATTTGTTGGCTCTGGGTCTCTTCTTTAGGCTCTTGAACCTGGTGCCATCCCTGTTGAAGCTGATGGGGTCTTGCATGAAACTAGGATAAGGGAAAAAAGAAAAACAGATCACTGGGAACAACCAGTAAGTAGTCTCCACCTCAACTTTTATTAACTAATGTGAGTTATTCCTCCAAAACCCAACTTCCACAGTAATGCTATAACTGATACATAGGCTACTTGATAGCCTATCTATGCCACCTCCACCATAAAGTATTCACTGATGATCGTACTGATGATTCTGAACCTGTGAACAACTTCAGTTTGCAAAGATTCAATTTGTTTGTGATACTGAACTTGCTAAGGCAAGAACATAGACAAGAAGGGTTTTGTTTTGGGAAGAATGATTCAACAGGAAAGGTCTTCTATTTAACCCACCATAAACATTAGAGATGATGTAGCCCGCAAGTTATTGAACAGTGTTAGTTTAAACTTTGCAGAAATGGATTTTTCTCGCAGATAAAACTCTAGCAGTATATAGTCCAAGATGCAAGGATGACTTCATAACAATATTATGAACCTAGGGACATATTAATCAGAATTTTTTTTCCCAGCAGGTGTCAGGAATCTTCATTTTCACAAGTAACTTTAATAAGTAATTGTGAAGCTGCTGGTCTCTGGAAGAGTGAGAGTGAGAAAAGGAAGGCAGTGCATACCTGGAGCTACTACAAACATGCTAATATACAAGAATTTGATTCATCATCTTCAGATTTGTTTCTCTAAGGATGTAGAAACACTTTTGTTTGGGCTATGTGTTTATTTATTTATTTCTCAGGAAAATACCAGCACAGCCTTGAGAGAGCAAGTGCAAACAAGTTACATTGCCCCTAGGGTGCCATTTACCCTCTGCTAAAGCACTGGTCTCCAGACCACACTTTAAGAAACACTGCCTTAAAATAAAAGTATAGTCGTTTAACCTAATCTCATTGAGAACTCTCTGGCCGGGCACAGTGGTTCACGCCTGTAATCCCAGCACTTTGGGAGGCCGAGGAGGATGGATCACCTTATGTCAGGAGTTCGAGACCAGCCTGGCCCACATGGTGAAACCAAGTCACTACTAAAAATACAAAATTAGCCAGGCATTGTGGCGGGCACCTGTAATCCAAGCCATTTGGGAGGCTGAGGCAGGAGAATCACTTGAACCTGGGAGACAGAGGCTACAGTGAGCTGAGATCACACTACTGCACTCCAGACTGGGCAACACAGTCAGACTCTGTCAAAAGAAAGAAGGAAGGAAGGAAGGAAGGAAGGAAGGAAGGAAGGAAGGAAGGAAGGAAGGAAGGAAGGAAGGAAGGAAGGAAGGAGACTCTGTAAATGATCTCACCATTGACACTACTGGCTTACTGATTTCTTAATTTTCAGAGAGAATGTGTTGTGGGCAGTGGAGTCCCAGGATGGAGGTGAGAGAGTGTCAAGTGACAAGAAGGGGGAAGAGGTAATATTGTAATTTAAAAATTATTTGTGAGCACAAAGAAGAGTCCTTCAGCTAATCAGTTAAAAATAAAGCCATTAAGTTCTCCTTTATACTCCTTCCCTGCAATGCTAGGGATCATTAAACCCCAAGGAACGTCTGACAAAACAATGCACCAAACAGCCACACCTGTTTTCATTCCATTTGTGTTTCCATCACTTTCTGGGTAGGAAGAAAGCTGTCTAACCTGATGACTCTGAATGGGGCATTCAGCAAATGGTATTTTGCTTCACATCAAGTGATTTCTTCCTAAGAAATCATCCCTGTTATAACAGCAAGACAATTAGAGGAGCATTGAGAAGGATTTGATTAATAGTGCTTCTGATTTTTCCTATTTAACCAGAATGTGGATATTTATGCCAGAACAGTAAAGAAGTTTAGATCCCAAATGGGTGCACAGAAACAGTGGTGGTATCTTTTTCAAAATTATTTTTTCACAGATGGGGTGATGGAGTCTTGCTATGTTGCCCAGATTGGAGCACAGTGGCTATTCACAGGCGTGGTAATAGCTTACCACAGCCTTGAATTCCTGGGTTCAAGCAATCCTCCTGCCTCAGCCTCCTGAGTAGCTAGGACTACAGGCATGTACCACCATGCCAAGCTGTTGATATCTTTTAATATGTGTGGTGGTGTATATGTGTGTACATTTTAATTGCTTACTATAAATCAAAAGTAATCAGATATATATTTATACACAGTTTCCTCAGTGTTTTGCAGATCTGGGGAAAGTATTTATCAGAAGAGGATTAATTTTGTTTCATTGCAAGTGGGCATTACATGCATACCCAGAAAGAAGTTATTCGGACAACAAGAGTAACCTATAGACCCTATAGACTTCCCTATTACTCAGCTTCAGTGCCCTTAATGCCAGAATCATGGCCGTAGAACCTCAGCTTGGAGAACTCCTTAGCACTCACACAAGTTAGAATGTATTAAATAAGGCTAAGCATTACTTGCCAAACATAATTCTAATTGTGAATATCCTTTACTATACAGTCTCCTCCTATTCATTGGGAAGCATATTTTTGATTTTCTGTGTAGTTAAAAAAGCAATACAGAATATCATAAGACATTCCATAGGCAAGTTTGTATCAAAAGAAGATTATTTGCTTTTTTAATATCCCTTTTTTCTCTGTGGCTTCAGCATTACATATTTAATTTGCAAAGAATTTCAAGCAATATAAAGAAAAAATACAAAGAACCCTAGGAATGAATTCCCTGGAACGCCCATGTTTTTATTAATCTGAATCTTAATTATGAGCCAATGCGTAGGCACCACATGTGGATTGTTTTAATGATTAGGTCTTGAACTTGGAAGTTAACATGTTTCACCATCTGTGCTGTTTAGTACATCACCACCCACCGAGAACAATTTCCATTTAACTAGCTTTCCCTGATCATGTCCCTGATCTTTCTCTCTCAACCCATATGTGCATATGTACACACATGCACATACATACACACACCATGTCTCCTCTAGTTTCCCAATTATGCATTTTCTTCCACCTGGTCTCTAATCTCTCACCACCTGTAATTCTACAATACATGCACATCAACTCCTGAACATAGAACAGATAGATTCTGGGTAGGCCTTATGGAAAGCAGTCCCATTTCTGTATAGTCATATCTTACTATATATGCACAGGGATATTTACAGTTCTACACATAGTAATTTGTTGTGGAATATCACAATTATCCTCAAACATATGCAAAAAAAATGTAATACCCAAAATATAAGATCCTGGCTTGTTTTAGTTATCTATCATTGTGCAACAATCATCCCAACACTTGCTTTTTAAAAAGTGACTTAATTTTCATGATCCTGTAAGTTTACAGGGTTGTTCTTCTGGCCTTTTCTCTAGGGACTATGCATGTTGCTGCATTCAGCTGGCAAGACAGCTAACAGTCAGGCTCAGCTGAGATAACGGGGATGGTGCAGTTTCCCTCTTGTGACCTTTCATTCTGGGTGTTGACATGGCAACAGCTCAGGGCGACATTCCAAGAGGGAAGCCCCAATAGGGGAATGCTTCACAAGTCCCTATTTGGGCCACATTTGTGATGTCCCATTAACCAAAGCAAGTCAGTGACCAAGGCCAGAGTCAAAGTGGGAGAGGAATACATAAGTGCTTGGATATTGGAAGGTGTGACTTGCTGGAAGTCATTACTCTAACAACCTTCCATATGGCCCAATATCATACAGTCATCCAAAGCTATGGGACGTGGACTCTTCATATGAAGGATGAGGTATCTGAATACAAACAATCTAAAAACATTTTTATTTATGTGTGTTCTGTAGGGAATGATTTACCTTGAAGACAGGCTCAATAAATGAAAAACATCCCTGGGTTATTCAAAACAATTGATAACCTCTTTAACACAAGACATGCACACTTCCTACCATGAACAAAAATCAGAGAGAACAGGAGAAATGTGACTGAGTCAACTCAGGGTGGATTCCTTTCGCTTTTCAGCTGACATTTCCTGTGCATATGTGCTCCTGTGACCATGTATCAACAAGTCCAACTCAATGTAGACTGGTATTAGATTAGCAAGTGTCTTGCTTTAATTTTTTTCTCTATATCTAGTGTCCTTACCCTGGAGTGTGGGACAAGTTGTTATTGAGAAGGAGAACCTCTGAGGACAAAAAAAATAGGATAATGAAGCTCCAGTTTTTCAGGAAAGAGGAAACTAAGTAACCCTGAGAGAATCAAGCAATCTAGTGGTATCTGGGGGAGCTCTTGGAGAAGCAGGTGGGCATCTTATTAGATGATGTCTGCCTGAGTTATTCCTCAAGAGGTGTGTGTAAATTGCTTTGCGCTTCTCTGTCCCTTTTGGTTGTTCCCTGAGGACCAAGGGAAGTTCCATGGTCTCATAAGTTACTTGAATTTTATTCAAAAAAAAATAACCCTCATAAATAGAACCAAACACCTTCATTTTTATGCACATGTGGACATTCCTTATAAAATTTTTAATACTAACCCCAGGAGGGGAAGTTTTCCTTGACTACATTTTTGAGGTTACCTCATTAACGGGCTCCCTGCCATGACCTTCTTTGCAATTCATACAGAACACTGCTGTAGCTGTTCTGTAAAACCAAAATCCTCCAGCTCTAGAGAGGGGACACCAAGGAGAACTGCCATGAATATATTTCAGTTGAAAGTTCCAGGAAACTGCTTGAAGGACCAAAACTTTCCTGCCTGCCAAATCTCAGATCCCAAACACAAGCCACTAGAGCCAGGAGTTTGGTCTTAAAATCTGTTTTAATGGACTGGGCAATCTAATCTTATAACTAGATCCTATTCACTATTAATTATTAAAATAAAGTTAGGCTCCTTTAGGGGCATAAATGCCTTCTATGGTATGAGACTAAATCTCTGTATCAGTAAGAAAACCAGATTGGAATGGAAAATTCTCAGGTGGTCCAGACCACCAAGGATAACTTTGTTGGGCTTTGAGGTTTGGCATTATAGGAACTAAAGTGAATCAATCCAGCCAAATATTTCAGCCCTCCAGTACCAATTATGGTGTATGGAGCCAAAGCTAGATAATGCCCTGAATGAATATCTAATCTATACTTAAGCCTCATAATATTTACATATTGGAGTCCTTGCTGTCCGTCCATGCCTATCCCAGCCATGCCAAAGTATAGCTGCTAAAGACCTGAAAGCTATTGTCTCATACAATCTGGGCCCAGAAACAGCGACAAGCTCAGGCCATAGGTCTCCATTCTTACTTCCTACTCACTTATAAATACACTGTAATCTGGCTTCTGCCCTTATCACTTCTCCTTGGCAGCTCTCCCTAAATGAATTACAAAATTCGAAGATGGTCTTCATCTTCTCTGAGCTCTCAGCTGATCATTATTCTCTTTTTCTTTTGGTTTTATAATCTGTTTTTTAATTAGCATATAATTTTTTGTATTTAGTAATATAGAATATCACCCATCTCCTACTTCTTTTGTCCCAGTCTCCCTCTGATGCTCCTTTTCTGCAGAACCCAACAGGAAGCCAGTCAACAAAAAACAACTGGGAATTGCAAAGTCCCAGCCCTGGCATCAGAAAGTAAAGCATAAAAGAATGAACTTGGAGGTGAGGCACATTAGCTTAATAACCCATAAAAAAGGCAAATTTGTGTTATGTTGGGCTTTTTAAGTATCTATTTGGTAGAAATCACAGATACAACAATCTAGGCCAAGAGTGTTCCTCGTGAATAATAGTAGACTTAAGTTTGTTTATAATCATAAAAATTCATACTTAATTCTTGTGTCTTGTCAGTTTTGACAAGTTGTATTTTTCAAAATATTAACTACTTATTTTGAAATATTTATTTATAACCTCATATCTTCATATTATTTTTAATGACTCTCAAATATATAGCAATGTCCTTTTTTTCATTCTTGACATTATCAGTTTTCTATTTTTTTCTTTTTATCTTTAATTGGTCTTCCCAGAATTATACTGATTTATTGATATTTTCAAAGAAGCAATTTATTCATTTGATTCTGATGGTACACTCTTTTGTATGATTTGGCTAATTTTATTAATTCCTGCCCTTATCTTTATTTTACTTTCTATGGGCTTAATTTATTGCTTTTTTTCTAACTTCTTTACATAAAGACATACATCATTTGTTTTTAGCTTTTCTATATACACACACACACACACACACATACATACATACATACATGTAATCTATGTACCTCCCTTAAATAGAATTTTAGTTATACCTCACACATTTTTATCTCTTACATATTCATCCTCTGTCAACTCAGAATATGTTCTCATTTTTATTGTGATTCTTGTTTGATCCAGGAATTACTTAGATGTTTACTTTATAATTTGAAAATATTTGAGACTTTTTCACTTACATTTTGCTGTTGATGTCTAGCTTAAGTTTTGCAGCTTGTGTGTAACTGAAAAAATTGAAAATAGAAAAAATATTGTTGTGCAGTGTTCTACAATGTAAATTAAGCCAGTGTAATAATAATCTGTTAAATTTCACAGCTTTACTGACATTTTGTTTTTCTACTTGGTTTATCAGTTATTGAGGGAAGTGTATTAAAATCTCCTACTGTCTCCTATAGTGATAAATTTATTTATTCTTTTAGTTCTATCAACTTTTGCTTAATTCATCTTACTGTATATATTATTACTGATACAAGTTTAGAATTATTATAATTTCTAGTGGAATGCTTCCTTTATTATCATGAAATGTTCCACTTTATATCTAGTAATGCTTTCAGCCCTACTGCTGTTTTTTCCAAGATAATATATCATTTTTCTCTGTTTTATGATCTTGTCTTTTGTTTTCAGCAGTTTCCATGCGGTGTGTGTATGACTACCTGTGATTTTCTTTGCATTTATCCTGCTTGTATTTGTTGCTTGATGTCTTTAATTTTTGAGAAATTTTTGGCTGTTGCCTCTTCAAAGATTGCTTCTGACTGATTTCTTTCTTTTTCTGAGACTTTACACGTATGTTAGAAGTTTTCACCTTGTCCCATATACCTCTTATGTCTTTTCTGTATTTTCTTTCTTTTATCTCTCCTACTTTTCAGTTGTCAACCTTTCAGCCATTGCTTTTGATGTGGCAAATGCTTTGAGAGGAGCCTTAATATCATGTGTGATTCCTCTCTCAGGGCTTTCCTCCTATCTAGGACCTAGGGTTTATAAGTCCTTAATGTCTCAATGGCTCCCCACAATTTTCAAACTGATTAATTTTAATTTTTTCTGACTTTTCTAGTTCTTGGCAGGAGGGTTAGATGGAACAACGTAGTTTGTCATTACTGGCAGCAGAATTCTCACAGTACTATTATGTTATATTTTCATTATTTTTCAGATTTAAGTATTTTGAGTTTTCATCAAAATTTTTCTATGACATATAAGTTGTTTAGAAGAGTGTTTCTCAAAAATATAGAAATTAAGTCCATATGTATATGGTCAACTGACATTAACAAGAGTACTAAGACCATTGAAAGGGGAAAGAAAAGTCTTCTCAACAAATGCTACTAGGATGAGTGAATATCCACAACAGAAGAATGAAATGACATATAAGTTGTTTAGAAGAGTGTTTCTCAAAAATATAGAAATTAAGTCCATATGTATAGGGTCAACTGACATCAACAAGAGTACTAAGACCATCAAAAGGGGAAAGAAAAATCTTCTCAACAAATGCTACTAGGATGAGTGAATATCCACAACAAAAGAATGAAATTAGACCCTTACTTGATACCGTATACAAAAATTGGCTCAAAATGGATCAAAGACCTAAATATTAAGAGCTAAAACTATGAAACTCTTATAAATCTTCAAAAAACGTATAAACCTTCATACAGATTTGGCAATGGATTCTTAGATATGACACAAAAAGCATAAGCAACAAAAGAAAAAAATGAATTGGACTTTATTAAAAGTAAACACTTTTATGTACCAAAGGACGCCCTCAAAAGAATGAAAAGGCAACCCACAGTATGGGAAAAATATTTGGAAATCATATATCTGTTAAGAGTGTAGCATCCAGAATCTTAAAGAACTCTTACAACTTAACAGCAAAAAGACAACCCAATTTAAAAATGGACAAAGATCTTGAATAGATATTTCTCCAAAGAAAATATACTAATGATGGGCTGGGAGCGGTGGCTCACGCCTGTAATCCCAGCACTTTGGGAGGCTGAGACGGGTGGACCATGAGGTCAGGAGTTCAAGGCCAGCCTGGCCAAGATGCCGAAACCCCGTCTCTACTAAAAACACAAAAATTAGCCAGGCGTAGTGGCACTTGCCTGTAATCCCAGCTACTTGGGAGGCTGAAGCAAGAGAATCGCTTGAACCTGGCAGCAGAGGTTGCAGTGAGCCGAGATCATGCCATTGCACTACAGTCTGGGCAACAGAGCAAGACTCTGTCTCAAAAAATAAAATAAAAATAAAAAATAAAATAATGAAAATATACTAACGATCAATAAGCACATGAAAAAAATGATTCCCATCATCAGACATTAGAAAAATTCAAATCAAAATCACAATGACATAGCAAATACTACTTCATACCCACTAGGATGATTATATTTTTAATGTAAAATAATATTGACAAGGATGTGGAGAAATTGGAACCTACATACATTACTGGTGGGAATGTAAAATGGTGCAATCACTTAAAAAAATATGTGGTGGCTTCTCAAAAAGTTAAACATAGAATTATCATGTGACCCAGCAATTCTGCTCTTAGGTATTTGCCTAAAAGAAATGAAAACATATGTTCATATTAAAACTTAATGTATAACTGTTCATAGCAGCATTATTTGTAATTGCTAAAAAGTAGAAACAACCCAAATGTTGATCAACTGATGAATGGATAAATAAAACATGGCATAGTCATACAATGGAATATTATTCTGCAACAAAAGAACAAATTACTGATACATGCTAGTACCTGGATCAACCTTGAAAACATTATGCTAAGAGATAGAAGCCAGGCACAAAAGGCCACACCTGGCATAATTCCATTCATGTGAATGTCCAGAATAGAAAAACCTATAGAGACAGAAAGTAGACTAGTGGCTTCCAGGGACTGGGGTTGGGGAGGAGTGGATAATAATTGTTAATGGATATGGAGTCTCTTTGGTGGAGGTAATGAAAATGTTCTGTAATTAGATATTGATGAAGGCTGGGCAACTGTGAATGTATTGTAATTATTAAACTATACACTTTAGCCTGGTTAAAATGGTGAATTTTATGGTATGTTAGTTTTACCTCAAAAACAAAAAAATTTAATAAATATATGGATTGGATTTTTGCTATAAATTAAATAAAACTCTGATCAGACAATGTGGTCTCTAGAATATTAAATCATTGAAATTTGCTGAGCCTTGCTTTGTGGTTTAATATATGGTCAATTTTTATAAATATTTCATGTGTGCTTAGGAAGAATGCATGCTTTCTAATTGCAAGCAGAGTTCTATATATGTCCAATGTATAAAGCATGTTAATTTTGTCATTGATCTATTTTACTTCTATGCTAATAATTTGTTTCTTTGATCTATTAATAAGGGGAAAGACATGTCAAAATTTCTTATTTGGTTGGTGTATTTGTTAATTTCTCCCTGACGTTCTATCAAGTTTTGCTTTATATGTTATTGACTAGATTATTAGTTAGAAGCAAGTTTAGAACTATATTATCCTAATAAATTAAACTTTTAATCATTATGTAATAAACACCATTATACTTCTCATACTTTTTATCCAAAAGTCAGCTTTTCACTAAACTCAGTTTCGGTTACCTTTGGTTTGGATTTGCCTATATTTTTCCTTTCCTTTATTTTCAACCTGATCATGGTTTTTTATGCTTTAGGTTGGCTTTAAAAGATTAGATTGCTGCCTTTATTTTTGCTCTTAATCCAATTTGACAAACTGCATTTTAATCATCAAATGTGGTTCTTTTTAATTTACTGTGATCACAGATATATTTGGACTTGGTTTTACCTCCTTATTTTTTGCTTTTGATTTTTTTCTCTCTTTTTGTTCTCTTCACTTTGTATAGATTTTTCTTGTTTGAATAACTCTTTATTCCATATTTTTCTCTACCTGTTTGGAAATTATGTACTCTATTTCTATTTTTTTAAAGTTACCTTTGAAATTTAGCATCTATGTGTAACAAATCTAAAATTAGGAGTTTTTCTCTCACTCTTATCCATTCAAGAATTCTTAGAACATTTTAAGTCTGATCACCTCAATTCTGGCTTATATACTATTGCTCCTCAGTATTTCAATTGTGTCTTTATTAGCCACAACAAGTTATCCATTATCATTATATAGACATTGCTCACTTATCTACATTTAAAAATTCATTTGCTCACAATTTTATTCTGCATCTTAGGCCTTTTCAAAACAATTTTACTTCCTCCTGAAGTATATGTTTCAGAAGTTTATTTTGTGCAGATCTATTAGTGATTAACACTCAGTATGTAGTCAATATTTAATTATATGAAAATTCCTGTATATTACTCCAATTTTTGAGATAGAGACAATTCTAGTCCAATATTTTTCTCTCTGAATTAAATATATATTTTATTAACATATGCAATTATTCTGACTTCCATTTTTTCAGGTTTTAAAAAAGCCTATTCTAAGTCTTTTGGAGGGGAAAGAAGGTTATAATTTGTCTTTTCTACATGGCTACATCTTAGATCTCTTTGTCATTGATGTTCTGCAGTTGCTCAACTTTATAACTAGGGGTAGATTTCTTTTCACTTTATTCTTCTTGGTAAATATTATCTTTCCTGTATCTGTGGCTTATATAGTATCAGTTCTAGAAAATTCTCAAATTTATGCTTTCAAATATTGCCTCTCCTTCAATATTTTTATTTTTTCTTCCTAGGGCTTCAAATACAAGTATGTTAGGCACTCTCATTCTCTTCTCCATATCTATTAACCTCTCTCATATTTTCCATTTCAGCTTTCTGTGTGACATTCTGAAAGTTTTCAGCTCTGTCTTTCAGTTCACTAATTCTTTCTTCAGCCACATCTACTCTGTTGTTTGGTCCATCCCTTAAGTTTTTTTTTTAATTGATGATTACATTTTATTTTTAATTTTTATCTGCTTCTTTTTACATCTACATGATTACTTGTATATATTGCCATGATGTTTATCTTTTTTTCCATTTTAAAAAAAATTCTTTAAACATTCATGCATAGTGTGGAAGACAAAATAAAGCTTCCATCGCCAATGATGTCCTCATTCAAATCCCCCAGAAACTTTAAATATGCTACCTTACATGGCAAAAGAGACTTTGTAGATGTCACTAAGGTTCTTGAAATTGGAGACTATCCTGAATTATCTGGTATTATCTATATTTATATTCCAATATAATCACGAGGGTTCTTATAAGAAGAAGGTAAAAAAGCAAAGTCAGAAAAAATAAATGTGACAAGGGAGCCAGAAGTTGTAGTCATACACTTAGAAAATGGAGGAGGGAGCCATAAACCAAGAAATGTAAGTAGTCTCTAGAAGCTAGAAGAGGCAAAGAAATATATTTTCCTCTAAAGCTTCCAGAGGAACATATCCCATACAACATCTTAATTTTAGACTTCTGAAGTCTAGAACTGTAAGAGAATAGATTGGTGGTGTTTTAACTCACTAAGTTTTGCAGTAATATCTTATAGCAGCAACAGAAAGCTAATATGTATAGTTATCTCACATACATAGATAATAGTTTTATTACCTAAAATTCTTGAGGAATTAAATCTGTTGTTTCTCTCCCTCAAGATGATTTGTGAGCTCATGATGGTTGTTTATTCAGGATTCTCTGGAGAAACACAACCAATGGGATACAATGGGGTATATCTGTGTCTGTGAACACACACACACACATAAGGAGTGTTATTATGGAAATTGGTTCACACAGTTTCTGCATTAGTCTGTTTTCACAGTGCTATAAAGAACTGCCTGAGACTGGGTAATTTAAAAGGAAAGAGGTTTAATTGACTCACAGTTCTGCATGACTGGGAAGGCTACAGGAAACTTACAATCATGGCAGAAGGCAAAGGAGAAGTACATTATTCACAAGGTGCCAGGAGAGCGAGAGAGAGAGAGAGAGAGAGAGAGAAGGGGGAAGTTCTAGATACTTATCAAACAACCAGATCTCATGAAAACATACTCACTATCATGAGAATACCATGGGGGAAACTGCCCCCTTGATCCAATCACCTCTCACCAGGTCCCTCCCTTGACAGGTGGGGATTACAATTTGGATTACAATTCAAGATGAGATTTGGGTGGGGACACAGCAAAAACATATTAGTTATGGAGGCCAGGAAGTTCTACAATCTGCTGTCTGCAAGTTGAGAACCAGGAAAGCTAGTGGTGTAACTCAGTCCAAGTCTGAAGGCCTGAAAATCAGGAGGCCAATGGTGTAGATCCCAATCTATGTCTGAAAGCCCAAGAACCAGGAGCACTGGTGTCCAAGGGCAGGAGAAGATGGATTTCTCAGCTCAAGCCAGTAAAAAATTTGCCCTTCCTCCACCTTTTTTGTTCTATTTGGGCCCCTAAAAGCTTGGATGATTCCTGCTCACATTAGTGAATGCGGATCTTCTTTACTTCATCTACTGATTGAAATGTCAACCTCTTCTGGAGATATCCTCACAGATGTATCCAGATATAATGTTTTACCAACTATCTGGGTATCTTTTCGACCAGTCAAGTTGGGCTAAGGGGGTTAACAATTACAATGGTTGATTTTAACTTGTGGAAAACCTGGAGTCTCCATTGAGAATATATTTCTCTGGATAGTATTTCGTTTTGCTTCTCCTAAAGCCAACGGTTCTACCTATCTGAGATCATTCCAGTTCATTCCCAATTTCATGGGTTACATCTGGAAGTCTTGAGTTCCATTCCCTCATTTTGTCACTTGCCTGAAGCACTTTTTCTATAAGCCTAAGGATATATTAACATTTCTCAGGGAAACATATTTACAAAGAAAAGCTATGCACATTGTGTAAAAGCCCTGTGGGAGATCTCTTTAAATATGTTCTTTGTTCACCATTTTAGTTTAAGCTTACATTGTTTTCTTCTTTTTCTTTTCTTTGAACCTTGAAGATTTCCTCACTTTATGACAGTCCAACTATGGAATAAAACTTTCTTAATGAAAACTCTTATCTTTTTTAATTTGAAGGTATACTCTTGCAAAAAAAAACTAATATGTCGAAGTTACTGAAGCATAAGTTTCTACACCACCCTTCACAACATTTCCTTGACTTTCAAGACACAACACCTTCCTGCCTCTCCTTCAGCCTCTCTAGCCACTCTGCGCCTGCTTTTCAAATTTATTCTTCATTGTCTGGTAAAGAAGTTTTGGAGTGTCTCAAGGATTTGTCATAGAGGCTCTCATTTCTCCCAATATTCTTTTTCATAAATGATCTCACCCACTCAGCTACATCACATTTTCCCTCTTGCATGGAGATGAATATCTAGTATCAGTCTGTCAGGCAAAAGAGGCAAATAGTCAAAAGTACCCAAGAAAATATTTCAGGAATTGCTGTACTTGAGACAGACATACCACTCTCAAAAAATTCAACACAGACTATTTTCTACACAGGATTTGAAAGATTGCTGATTTCTTAGTTTATCTCCCGAAAGAATTGGCTATGAGTGTTATGGGATAAAGCATTTAGAATAGGAATTAGACATTACATAATTAAAGGTGGGACTTATGTGAATTCTGGAAGTGGGTAATTGGAGGATTAGAAAAGAGTTATTGGCCAGGCATGGTGGCTCACGCCTGTAATCCTAGCACTTTGGGAGGCCAAGGCAGGAGGATCATTTGACATCAGGAGTTTGAAACCACCCTGGCCAACATGATGAAACCCTGGCCAACATGATGAAACCCTGTCTCTCCTAAAAATACAAAAATTAGCCAGGCGTGGTGGCAGGCGCCTATAATCCCAGCTACTCAGGAGGCTGAGGCAGGAGAATCGCTTGAACCTGGGAGACGGAGGTTGCAGTGAGCCGAGATTGCACCATTGCACTACAACCTGGGCGACAGAGTGAGACTCTGTCTAAAAAAAGAAAAAAAAAAGTTATTAATTAGTTCTCCTTAAGCAATGGCATAGGTGAGAAAGAGCCTCCAAGGAAATCCAAGAAACCAAATATGTTAAGCTGCTAAAGTGACAGCAAAGGGGAGCTTGCCTCTGTGGGTCCACGACCCACAGAGAAAGGAATTCTGGAAAAAATAATTTCTAGGTTAATCAAATTGACAATAGAACAATTCAACACAACTTAGAACAGATTCAAATTTAGATTTTAATTAAGAGATTATATATGAATGTTTAATGTCTTTCTCCTCCATTTGATATAAACATCATAAAAACAAGGACTATTTATTCATTATTTCACCAACTATTTATTGAGTACCTACTGTGATCCAAGTGCTTTTCTGAGCAGAGTATACAGGTGTGAAGAAAAGAGATAACAATTTCTTATTCTCGCATTAGTGGGTTGGAGGTGGGCAATGGGCAAAATAATAATGTAATATACATATACAGTAAGCCTTCACTTGTGGTCATCAATAGGTTCTTGGAACTTGCAATAAAATACCATAAAATGTAACCAACTTTCTTTCAACAACATTATAATGATACAACTTTGGACAGAACATTGAACAAAATGATGTTATTCTAGGCCCTCCTGGGTATCATTTTCAAAGCATGGTCAAAAAACCTATAGCTTCTATGCCCTAAATGTATCTCATGTCTTCTGGCTATGGGCTTTACATAAGCTCAAATCAAACTGACACTTATCCCACAGGATGCTAGATATTTCTTGGCTTAAATTCCAGTTTCAACACATTTCTTACATGAAAGACTGCAAAAGTGTGGCACCCGATAATTTAAATGACAATATTTGGCAGAATTTAATAACTTCATTTTCTATAAATTCGAAAGACTAATGAGCCCCCTTATCAGTAGAAAATGTGAGTTCTCCCAGTCTGGTGGGAGAACTGTCTGGCCATGCCTTGCTCAAATACCCTAAAACAACATTGCCTGTGGCAGCTACCAACAAATGGATGGCAGTCTTCCTTGTTCTCCACTTCTATCATATGTATGTTCCAGTTGGCTGAAACATAGACTCAGTGTGGTCTACACAAAACAATAGTAAGATAGTAGAAATTCCTGGACATGATAAAGAGGGAGGAAATGTACGGAAATGGATTTATCACAAGTGACTTGCTTACCCATCCTAGTAGGGTCAGCAGGCTCTCCTTTCATCACAGTTTTTTTTTTCCATAGGTTATTGGGGTACAGGTGGTGTTTGATTACATGAGTAAGTTCTTTAGTGGTGATCTGTGAGATTTTGGTCCACCAATCACCCAAGCAGTATCCACTCCACCCTATTTGTATTCTTTTATCCCTCGCCTCCTCCCTCCCTTCACGCCAAGTCCCTGGATTCCCTTGTATCATTCTCATACCTTTGCATCCTTGTAGTTTAGCTCCCACATATCAGTGAGAATATACAATGTTTGGTTTTCCATTCCTGAGTTACTTCACTTAGAATAATAGTCTCCAATCTCATCCAGGTCACTGCAAATGCCATTAACTCATTCCTTTTTATGGCTGAATAGCATTCCATGGTGTGTGTGTGTGTGTGTGTGTGTGTGTGTGTGTGTGTGTGTGTGTATGTGTATATATATATATACCAGAGTTTCTTTATCCACTTGTTGATTTACGGGCATTTAGGTGGGTTCCATGCTTCTAGAGCATTGGGCAGTGAGCCCCTTTTGCCCAGTAATACAACCAGACCTTTCAGAATTATTGCAGTTGTGAATTGTGCTGCTATAAGCATGCGTGTGCATGTATCTTTTTTGTATAATGACTTCTTTTCCTCTGGGTAGATACCCAATATTGGGATTGCTGGATCAAATGGTAGCTCCACTTTCAGTTCTTTAAGAATCTCCACACTGTTTTCTATAGTGGCTTTATTAGTTTACATTCCCACCAGCAGTGTAGAAGTGTTCCCTGATCACTGCATCCATGCTAACATCTACTGTTTTTTGACTTTTTTATTATGGCCATCCTTGCAGGAGTAAGGTGGTATCACACTGGTTTTGATTTGCATTTCCCTGATCATTAGTGATGTTGAGCATTTTTTGATATGTTTGTTGGCCATTTGTATATCTTCTTTTGAGAATTGTCTATTCACCTCAGTTTTGAGAAATACATAGTTGGGAAGCCCTGCGATTCTTGAAAAGTGCTATGTTGGCTTCACTCCATTGGCCATGGATAAGGTTGAGAGATACTGCCATTGTAATGAGCTCTCTTATTTCCATGGAGATGATGGGATTGAGGCCAGGCAGAGGATAAATATCACTACCTAACTGCCAGAAGTAGAGCAGACATAGTCACCATACCAGGCAGCAAGGCTCATGGTAATCAGAATGGTTTGACAGTGGATAACTGATTACAAGGTCCCTAGAATCCAAATAAATGGCCTATCCTCTAACATCCTAATTGATTTCTATAACTGAACTGAAACTGTAAACCAGGAAAATAGATGATTTGAGACCTTCATCTAATTCCAGAACTAATCATTTCCCAGAGGCACATGAATAAAGAGAAGATTGCACCATGGAGGAAGGTCCATGCAATATTATGTTTTGTAAATTGTCTGCTCTTCCCCAAAGGAAAGTGCCACCACTTCCTGGAATGACTGTACCCAGGAGAAAAGGGAATGACTGAAACTGTGCCCCAAAGTTAAAAAAAAAAAAAAAACTAGTAGAAATTCTTGAGTTTGCAGGATGGCAGATAAGAAAAGAAACAACTTGCTGAAACACTGAAACTTCTCTCCTTTGTAAGATAACAAAACTGGCTGAAATCAGTTGAAACCACTATAGCTGCATAAGTTTGCACAAAACAAACTTGCTGACATCATAGCCTGAATTTCCATGCTTCATACCAGCTCCCTCCAAATTTACACATGAGACCAATAAGGAGGCAAGAAGAGATGGCTATACATGCCTGAGGACTTTCTAGACCTCTTTCCTTCCACCAATCACCTGCTAATCCCAGAATCCAGCCCCTAAACCTTTTCTAATAAAATTACTGCTGTGAAACCAGCACAGGGAGATAGATTTGAGCTTGACTCCTGTCTCCTTGTGAGTCGACTTGCAATAAAAAGCTTTTCTTTTCTCAAAACCGTGGTGTCATAGTACAGGCTTCTAGAGCATCGAGCAGTGAGCCTGTTTTGCTCAGTAATACAACCAGACCTTTCAGGGATTATTGGACACTGGTTCAGAGCTATTTTTTATCCCCAAGAATATCCTGATATCTACCAGTGCTTATGTAGGTTGTATAATAAGTTTTTGCCTCAGTCTGTTTCATAAAGGGCTCACTTAATATGCAAATCCTTTCTGTGGTTATTTTCCCCAAGAATAGATAGTTGAACTATACATGCTCAGCAACCACTGGAACATCTACATGGGTTTCTACATGGGTTCCTGGTCTATGGCATGATGACTAGTGTGCAGGCAGAGCCTAAAGGAGGGCTGTAGAGCCCCATATCCCTATGACGATAGTAAACTGGAACCAAAACCACATTCCTGGGGAGCTGCAGAAATTACCGCTAATGTCAAAAACTTGAAAGATGCAGAAATGATCATTCTTAGCATCCCCATTTGACTCTTGGATTGGCTTTCACAAAAGACAGAAAGGTCTTGGCTGGACACAGTGGCTCACACCTGTAATCCCAGCACTTTGGGAGCCCAAGGCAGGCGGATCACTCAAGATCAGGAGTTCAAGACCACCCTGGCCAGCATAGTGAAACCCTGTCTCTACTAAAAAAACAAAAATTAGCCAGGCATGGTGGCAGGCACCTGTAATCCCAGCTACATGGGAGGCTAAGGCAGGGGAATCGCTTCAACCTGGGAGGCGGAGGTTGCAGTGAGCCAAGATCGCACCACTGCACTCCAGCCTGGGTGACAGAGCGAGACTCCGTCTCAAAAAAAATAAAAAATAATAAAAAGACAGAAAGGTCTTGAAGAAGAATGGTAAATTATCACAAACTCAATCAGAAAATTAATCTTTTATTCCAGATGTAGTCTCTTTTATATTTATTTATTTATTTATTTATTTAGTTAGTTAGTTATTTTTGAGATAGGGTCTCACTCTGTCACCCAGGCTGGAGCAGTGGTGTGATTATGGCTCACTGCAGTCTCAAACTGCTGGATTCAAGTGATCCTCCTACCCCAGCCTCCCAAGTAGCTGGCACTATAGACATGTGCCACCACACTTAGCTAATTTTTTATTTATGGAGAGAGTTTTGCTACGTTGCCCAGGCTGGTCTTGAACTCCTAGCCTCATGAGATCCTTCCACCTTGGCCTCCCAAAGTGCTGGGATTACAGGTAGGAACCACTGCACTTGCCAGATGTAGTCTTTTTACTAGAGCAAACCAATACATACTGAAGCACCTGGCATGCAGTGCTCATCTCGAAAATGCTTTGTTTTCTAAAGTATGAAGCAGAAATTTTTAGAAGTGGTTTCCTTGCACTTTTCAGTCAGGAGTATAATTTCACTCTCTTGCTTCAGGGCCACATCAGCTATCCAATCTTTGGCTATAATTTTGTTCACAGGGACCTCGGTTGTCTTACCATCTCATAGAATGTCATGCTGGACTGCTCCACCAATTACATAATACTGATAGAACCTGGTGAGCAAGAAGTAGCAGGCCGCCTAAATGCCTTGGCAAGACATAGTTGTAACAGAGGATGGGCAATAAACTCCAAGAAGATTCAACTCGGTGAACTTTCCGGAAGTCCAGTAGTCTGGGCTGGATATCGTCTCCAAAGTGAAAGACAAGTTGCTCTACCATATACCCCCTATCAGTACAAAAGAGGCCCACAACAAACATATGAAAAAATGCTCAACCTCACTAATAATCAGAGGAATGCAAATAAAACCAAAATGAGATACCATCTCACAGCAGTCAGAATGGCTATTATTAAAAACACAAAAAATAGCAGATACTAGCAAGAAAAGGGAACATTTAGACACTGCTGGTGCTAATGTAAATTAGTATAACCTATATGGAAAACAGTGTAGAGATTTCTCAAAGAACTAACAATAGAGCTACCATTTGATCCAGCAATCCCACTACTGGGTACTATCCAAAGGAAAATCAACTGTTATATCAAAAAGACACCTGCACTTGTATGTTTATCACAGCACTATTCACAATAACAAAGTCATGGAATCAACCCAAGTATCCATCAACAGTGGATTAGATAAAGAAAATACATCATACATAATACACCATGACACAGCCATAAAAATTTAATCATGTCTTTTGTAGCAACATGGAGGGAACCAGAGGCCATTATCCTAAGTGAAATAACTCAGAAACAGAAAATCAAATATCGCATGTTCTCACTAGTAAGTGGGAGCTAAACAATGTGTGCACGTGGACCTACAGAGGGAAATAATAGACACTGGGGACTCCAAAAGGGGATAAGGTGGGAGGAGGGTGAGGGTTGAAAAATTACTTATTGGGTACAATGTTCACTATTCAGTTGATGAATACACTAGAAGCCCAAACCCCACTCCTGCTATGCAATATATCCATATAACAAACCTGCACACGTACCCCCTGAATCTATAAAAATGAAAGCATTTTTTAAAAAATTTAATACAGAAGAGGCCTGATACTTGAGTGAGCCAATTTTGAAATCAACAGACGGCATATTTGAGTGTGTTGCTCTGATTCATTTATCAAGGATGAAACTTTGCACTGGAGTCCAGAATTAAAGAAAGTCTGTAGCTGGTACAGGCTGCAGTGCCAATGGCTCTGGCACTAGGTCTTATTACCCAGAGGATTCAATGATACTTGTAATACCTATGACAAGTTGGAATTCTGTGAGTAATGTTATTTTGTGAAAAGTCCTACACTGACTTTTTAGGCTGAAGTGACAATGATCTGGGAGTTAAAGATATTTAATCATGATAGAATTAAAGTACTTTTCATTCACATCCATAGATCCCTTTCGTAAACTTGATCCCAATATGACATAGGTTGATGTTTTTAAATTATTTCTGAACCATCCATGACAAATCTCAATCGTGCAGAGGTGCCAAGACTTGAGGATTCAGTCTACATCAATCCCTGGAAATATATAGCACAAAAAATGGTTTGGCTGGGCGCAGTGGCTCCCGCCTGTAATCCTAACACTTTGGGAGGCCAAGGCAGGTGGATCACTTGAGGTCAGGAGTTCGAGACCAGCCTGACCAACATGGTGAAACCCCATCTCTACTAAAAATACAAAGATTAGCCAGGCATGGTGGCACATGCCTGTAATCCCAGCTACTCGGGAGGCTGAGACAGGAGAATCGCTTGAACCCGGGAGGCAGAGATTGCGGTGAGCCAAGATTGTGCCATTGCACTCCAGCCTGGGGGACAAGAACGAAACTTTATCTCAAAAAACAAAAAAGGGCTTGTTAGATAGCATGAAGATGTACAAAAGTAAGAGACAAAAAAAAACAGTATTTTTTTTTTGTAAATAGTAGTGATCCATGAGCTATCAAAAAGAATCTTGGAAGAGTTTCTCTCCCATGTAAACAATCTTCTCAGCCAGGCGTGGTGGCTCATGCCTGTAATCCCAGCACTTTGGGAGGCCGAGGCAGGCAGATCACCTGAGATCAGGAGTTCAAGACCAGCATGACCAGCATGGAGAAACCCTGTCTCTATTAAAAATACAAAATTAGCCAGGTGTGGCAGCGGGCACCTGTAATCCCAGCTACTCAGGAGGCTAAGGCAGGAGAATCGCTTGAACTCGGGAGGTGGAGGTTGCAGTGAGCCGAGATTGTGCTACTGCACTCCAGCCTGGGCATCAAGAGCGAAACTCCATCTCTAAATAAATAAATAAATCAAAACAATCTTCTCTAATTCTCATTCTATAATTAAGGTTTTTCTCTTGCACCCTGGGGGATTCTGTAACATCATCAGGCCAAAGCAAAAAAGCAAAGCCAAAAAATGTCTCTTAAAGTTTTGATGGTCTTTTTTTTTTTTCAACTTTTATTTTAGATTTAGGGGGTACATGTGCAGGTTTGTTACCTGGGTATACTGCATGATGCTGAGGTTTGGGGGACAAATGATCCTGTCACCCAAGTACTGAGCATATTACCCAACTGTTTTTTAATACTCACCTCCCTCCCTCCCATTAGGAGTCCCCAGTGTCTGTTGTTGCCATCTTTATGTTCATGAGTACCCAATGTTTAGCTCCTGCTTTTAAGTGAGGACATACAGTATTTTGTTTTCTGTTCCTGTGTTAATTCACTTAGGATAATGGCCTCCAGCTGCGTTCTTTTCTATTCTTTTCTATGACTACAAAGCATTGCATTGTGCATGCACCCCATTTTCTTTATCCAATCCACTGTTGATGGGTACCTAGGTTGATTTCATGACTTTGCTATTTGATGGTCTTCTAAGAAAAAGACGATGAGAAGAAATGCCTTGAGAGACGTAACATCTATAGTCTGTCTACAGTTTTTCTCTGTAAAGTTCTCTTTAACCACAAGTGAGAATAAAATGACTTATCTTGAGACAAAGACTTAGCAGTCATGGTAAAATTATTTCCGTGTTTCTGAACACTGGTCAGTCTAGACTTCATCCCTTCTAGTTTCTTAACTCACATGTAGCTTAAAATCAAGTTTCAAACACAAAATGACATCCCTAAAATACAATGTTTTATTTTAACAACCAGAAAAGACAATTTTCTAGAATTTTTATATATGATTTCCATAATGGTAATAACAGCAAATAATGAGAAAAGTAATTGTAATACTGGTAGTGTGTTTAATGAGATTTATTTAATGGGTAGGCCCTTAAAGAAATAATAGGTGCACAGAGCACTTAAAGCAGGAATAACTGAAATCTTATTGAAACTATTACTTTGCCCTTAAGGAATATTTTATTTCATGGTTTAAAAATCATACTCTCAAAGGAAATCAAGGAGAAACACTTAAAAAAAACTCCAGTTTCTTTTAAGGATGAGTAATATTTTACTTCTCTATTCATAAAAATACCAGAACTCTTTCCCTTTTATAAGGCTATGTGTTACCTCAGTGAAGGTGGAACGGACAGCTGGCTAGGTTTAAGTCCTAGCTGTGCCCCCTTCTGCTTGTGTGATTTCAACTGATATTTAACTTTGCTAATCCCGTTTCCTCAACTGAAAGATGATCACAATAATATTATTATTATATTCACAAGGCTATTTTCAGGATATTGTATGTGATTTTATTCCTATTGCATCAATTACATACATAGAGTTTCATCTGGCAACTTTCATCTGGTCTTTTATATCTTAAAAGATATAAAAGTAGCATAGGAGAAAAATGCAAAATTGTCTACTCCCTCTTTTTGCATCCTTTACTATGTTTTCCTATTCCAGGAGCACTTCTAACAATATTGCAAACAAATCAGAATTTGTTCTTCACACCCAAACCTCTACTTTCTTTGTCATTTTGACCTTAATAAAATATGTATGTGATGATGGGGTGTGGTGGAGAAAAAAGAGCACTGAACTCAGCAGTCAAGAAATCTGGATTTGAGTCGCAGCTCTGCCACAGTCTGGAAGTGAGGCCTTGAGCAAATCCCAGCCTTAGTGAGTAACGCATTGCAGGGTGTGTTCACTCCTTGGTAGTCATGTTCTCTACTCTTGACAAACCCACACCAGAGTCTCTGAGCACTTGGTTAGAAGGCTGTGGATAATTCCAGAACTCTGGACAAGTATTCCTCATTCTCACTTTCTTACAACTTATATCTATCTTGCTTATACACCAGCTACCCCCTTGCCAACCTGTTTGGCTTACCAACTTGTCTCTTTTTTTTTTAATTTTTCAATTTTCAAATATGATAATCATATACTAAACTGCTTATCAAGCTTCTAACACCAACTTTGGTGATAATAATAGTATTTATTGAGTCCTTACAATGTACTAGGCATTGTGTTTTACAAACATGATTTCATTCATTTCAATTAAGCCCTATAAAGAAGGTATATTTATTGTCTCCACTATATAGATGAGGAAACTGAGGCTTAGAGGGAATAAGTAAATGTACATTTTTAAATAGGCGTCTAATTAGCCACAGGAAAGCTAGTGCTTTTGTTTGGCGTTTAGAGCCTGCTTGTTTGAATCAAGATCTAAATGAGGTCCACATTTTCCAATTGGTTGATGTCTCTTGAATTTATAAGTGCCCTCTTTCTCTGTTTTTTTTTTCTCGTAATTTATTTTTAAGGAAACTAGGTCACTTGCCTTGTGCAACTTCCAATAGACTGGATTCCACTGATTACATCTCCTTGCTGTTGTTAAATATATTCCTTCATCTTTTGAATTTCCTGTATTGCCAGGCAGTTGTAGGGAATTGATCAGACTCAGGCTTGATTTTTTAGGAAGACTACTTTAGAAGCAGTGGTGCACTCTTCAGTTAGTGGTATGTAATGGCTGGTTATTTCTCTTTTTATAATGTTAACTGCATTATGTTCAGTGCCTAGATCCAGCAGTTTATCAGGAGAGGCCATACGATAATAGTCTAATTGCATCATTCTTATTTTATTAGCAGAGATATTTCTATAAAGATTGTTTCCCTATATCTATTATTCAATTATCCAATGATATAGTTCATGGGAACGTCAAAATAAATATTGATCCTTTCCCTTTATGTATCAGTTTTCAAAGTGACGAGTGAATTCATTAGCATTCTTCTGTGGTGAGCAGATGTGTTTGTTTTCTCAGAACTGTTATAAACAGTTTCATGGTAAATTCATGGATTTCATTATATGTGTATTTAAATTTATTACAGTTATCTTTATTGATGTTCACGTGTTATATAATTGGCCAAACTCAAGTTGTCTCCTGAAACCTTTTGACAAAACCTTAGTGGTTTTTGTTCTCAATGACACCAGCAAGGAAAGAATCCGCCGATCACACAATCACTTTTTTAATTTACTCTACTCTATACACAATAGTCACAAGAATGACAGTACCAAAACTATTGCGGATAATATGAGTATGATGATCACTTTAAGAATTTTTTCTTTTTTTTTGCGGTTCTTTTGTTCCTACATTTGCTACTAGAAATATAGATCCAAACTGCTGTTTTAAGGTCTTTTGGAAGAGCTCAAATTGTAACTCAGGCAATGTGACTGAAGAGATGACTCTAAACCATGGTAACCAAAGGTATCTATAACCCACTAGACAAGGCCTGCAATTCCTCACCCATCTGGGACAAGTGATCAGAGCTTTTAGACAGCACAACAGCACAACCTATAAGATCCTTGCTGCTTCTAACTTTATACAACCCTAAAACCACAAATACAGCTCCTGCAAATGGTGTGCAGATCTATGCTGTGGAAGACTTAACATTTAAAATAAGTTGTTTACTTGAATTCTATAAATCAGCTGTTAGCACCAAAGATTTCTCAGATATGACGAAGTTTCACGTTTCCCTAAGAAACAAATTGATCCATGCAAAAATGCCAAGCTTCAGAAAAGCTGTTGAGAATTCTCCCAGCAAAGAATGAACCGTGATCTTCCTCTCTTCCTTCTCAGTACAGTCTGACTTCTATGAACATCTAATGATAATTCCAAGGACTTCCCCTCTTCCCTGCCATCTATTTCTATTAATAAAGTAATATAGTGCTTTTAAATTGATTAAGCAGTGTCACATTGTTTTGAACCAGTTTATACTCTACCAGAAGTGGATGAGAGATCCTGTTTTGTTTCTCCACATTTTTACAAAAGCTTGGTAGAGAGAAACCTTCTATTAACTTTTGCCAATCTGGTAGAGATGAAATGCAGTCTCATTGCGATTTCAATTTGCATTTCACTGAATACTAACAAAGTTGAGCATCTTTTCTTTTCTTTTTTTTTTTTTTTTTTTTTAAGACAGGGCCTGGCTCTGTCTCCCAGGCTGGAGTGCAGTGGCACGATCTTGGTTCACTGCAAACTCCACCTCCCAGGTTCAAGCAACTCTCCTGCCTCAGCTTCCTGAGTAGCTGGGACTACAGGCACGTGCCACCATGCTCAGATAAGTTTTGCATTTTTAGTAGAGACGAGGTTTCACCATGTTTGCCAGGCTTGTCTCAAACTCCTGACCTCAGGTGATCCATCTGCCTCGGCCACCCAAAGTGCTGGGATTATAGGCATGAGCCACCACACCTGGCCTAAGCATCTTTTCATCTGTTTATGGGTTATAGATTCCTTCTTTGAAATTTATATTCATGCTTTTTGACCATCTTTAAATTTAGTTGTTTAACTTTTGCCTAATGATTCATAGGAGGTCTTTATATGTTTAGGCTACTAAATCTTTGTTGATTACATTTTTTTGAAAGATATCTTTTCTCAGTTTATGGTTTGTCTTTTTACTCTCTTTATGGTGTCTTCCAATGAACAGAAGTTCTTATTTTTTAATGCAGTTGAATGTATTAACCTTTTCCTTTATATTTGTCCTTTTTTATTAATCTTGTGGAAAAAGTCATTCACAACCAGACCCCATAAAGATATTCTCCTGTATTTTCTTCTGAAATGTTTATGGTTTTGACTTTCTTAACTTTCATATTTATCCTTAATAGGAATGTAGTATTATATATAGTTTGAAGTAGAGATGCAATTTCATTTTTGTTTGTATGAATAATGATTTCCTTGTGGTCTGCAATGCAGCTTCTGTCATATATCAAGTTGTCATATAATTATGGCTCTGTTTGTGTTTCTGTTGTCCTGTGGGTCTTGTCCATGTCTGCACCCAGTGCTACAAGATCTTAACTACTCTAGCTTTACAATAAGTCTTGATATCTGGTAGGGCAAGCTCCCCACACAACCCATACATATCTTATGTCACTTTTCCAAGAGTGTCTTGGCTCTTTCTGGCCCTTTTCTATCTATATAAATTTTATAATCACATTTTCAAACTCCATAAAAATACTTGAGACTGTTTTTGAAACTTACTGAGTCTCTAGTTTAATCTGGAAATAACTGACATCTTTATAATATTAAATCTTTCCATCCAAAAAAATTATCCTATACAATCTAGAAAACACTAAACAATACCTTATTTATTACCTATTCATAGATGTATCCTTGTTAAAAGTAGAAATAATGTCTGTGAGCCTGGGAAGAGGGGTGCGTGATGGGTTGTCTGAAGAGAAAGCACAAAGAGGCTTCTATGGTAATCATTTATATCTTAACCAGGGTGGTGGGAATATGGATGTTTATTTTATTATCATTCTTCAAACTGGACATATACAGTTTATATACCCTTTTGTTCACATGGCATGTTTCATAAGACAAAATTTAAGACATGCAATAAAGGAGATATTTGCCAAGCCAATTGATTTAGAACAAAAGTGTTAAATTTTTGAATTTTTCTTCCCATCATATAAACTTGCACATAATGAACTGTTAGTTCAATATTTCCAAGAATAACTATGTCCCTCTGTGTATCATGATGAAAGTCTTTGTTTAAAAAAATGATTGTTTCATTCTCATAAAGACACATGCACACATATGTTCATTGCAGCACTGTGCGTAATAGCAATGACTTGAAGTCAACCTAAATGCCCATGAAAGGTAGACTGGATAAAGAAAATGTGGCACATATACACCATGGAATACTATGCAGCCACAGAAAAGAATAAGATCGTGTCCTTTGCAGGAAAATGGATGGAGCTGGAGGCCATCATCCTTAGCAAGCTAACACAGGAACAGAAAACCAAATACCATATGTTCTCACTTATAAGTGGGAGCTAAATGATGAAAACACATGGACACAAAGAGGGAAAAAAGACACTGGATCCTACCTGTAGGGGGAGGGTGGGAGGAGTAAAAGGAGAAGAAAAAAACAACTACTGGGTACTAGGCTTAGCACTGGGATGACAAAATAATCTGTACAATGAATGCACGTGACACGAAATTAATTACCTATATAACAAACCTGCACATGTAGCCCTGAACCTAAAATAAAAAATTTAATGATTTTTTTATTTTTAAATTTACTAGCATTCTTGAGTATACTGTTTCTCTATGAGCTGTGGTCATTCCTTTTGCTCTACATGCAGGCTACTATAGTTCAAATGGAATTGGGTATACATTCATTCATTTTTTTTGCAAAATATATGCATAATTTACTGTATGGGGAATAGAAAATATAAGAAGATAAATATTAACATTCTTGCATACAAAAAGAAAAATGAATTAAGACAAGTGCTCAAATAACTACACTGTCTGCTTTAAAAAGTAGAGATAATAATGATAAGCACAAAATGACAGGGGAATCCCAAGGCAAATGAGTTGACATGTGACTGAAGGAGGCAGAAGACTGGGGATAGTCACAAATCATCACCTCATGGTTTAAACACATGCAAGAAAATGTGTAAGTGTTTCAGCCTTTTTACTCATATTCTAGGTTTCTCTCTGGCTGAAAGAGGCTAACAACTGGATTCATGATCATTGAGCCCATTCTCTTCTGGCTCCATATTGTGTCAGTTTGGGGTTTTCAAAACCTGAAAGAATTTCATCTCTATTCCAACCCTCCCATGACAAAGTTGGGAATTATTTACTATTCTGCAATTATTAAGACTACATAGTCTTAGGATTTGCAGATCCTAATTCTGCAAAGTGGGCAGAGACTGCTCTGTGCAATGATTTTACCTGCTCAAAATTCTGCAGTGAACCCTGCATAATTTACATGCACCTCAGAGAACAAGCCTGAAAAGAAGCCAGTGCTAATTGACTGAATCGACCATGTCAGTTGGCTGCTTTGGTTTCATAGAAACCTGTTCACACATCCAATAAGTTCTCTGAGGAGAATAAATTTTAAAACTTATGATCTGATATTGTGATGCCTGTTCCCTATTGTCCATTGCCTCCCAGCCCCCTCTCCTGGACTCTAAATAATTGTTTGACTAAACTTTTCTACTTTCAATTAATTTCATTGGTTCTCTGTTTGCATAACCTGTTAATATCCTGCAGTCAATAGAAGGTATGTTCAGTTGCCAGAGGAGCTTAAAATATTCCTAAGAGATATGGAGATGAAGGCAGAAAGAGCATGCAAGCTACACAAGGGGGCTTACACAGCTAATGCCATTTTTCTCACTTCAGATCCCTGAGCCAAAACCTTCCATGGGACACTCTGAGCAATCATTGACATTTCCAAAATGGCAACACTAATAACATGAAGAGTTCTTCATGTCTGAAGGTCCTGGTGATTTTTAAGCATGAGCACAGATTGAAGGCTGTATTCTTGGCCTGCTGGAGCTGCATTTGCACTTACTAATGCAAGAGTTCGTAATAATTAAATTCAGGCCCACTAGCACTTGCTGCCATGAGAACCTTGTCTCCCAAATGTGTACAGAAGGAAAGCCCAATTGCTCACTGAAAGGATTAGTAGCTTCACATACTATCCTGAATCCTGGGCACTGTTTCAACCTTCTCCAATTATGTGAATTTATAATAAGAAGTGGTCTGAGAGGTTGGCAGAGTAGGTATGAAAGCAAGAGCTGATTAAAATTTATCCTGCCTCTTTGAAACAGTTCTTTCTTTAGAATATTTTTGTATCCTAAGTAATAAATTTTATGGGATTGCAATTTATGGGAATCACATCACCTCACTGTGTACCTTAAGGTTATAGCTTTAAGAAATTATTTTCCAGGAAGTTTAGTACAGACTGCAAAGTAGGCACATGGAGCTAAGCCATTACAACACCCTTGTGATGGTTAATTGCATGTGTCAACTTGACTGTGCCATGAGGTATCCTGATACTTGGTTAACATTATTCTAGGTGAGTCTATGAGGGTGTTTCTGGATAAGGTTAATATCTGAATTCATAGACTAAGTGAAGTAGACTGCCCTCCTCAATACAGGTGGGCCTCTTCCAATCTAATAAAAGTCCAAATAAAACAAAAAGTCAAAATAAGAGAAAATTATTTCTCTCTGCCTGTTTTCAAGCTAAGCTATCAGTCTTCTCCTACTTTCAGACTTGGACTCAGACTGGAACTAACATCATCATCTCACCTGGTTTTCAGGCACTTGGACCCAGACTGGAACTATACTAACAGCTCCCCTGGAAGTATAGCTTGCCAACTGCAGATCTTGGGAATTCTCTGCCCTCTATAACCATGTGAACCAATTCCCTATTTTACATATTGTCTATTGGTTCTTTTTCTCTGTAGAACCCAGACTAATACAGCTGCTATTGTTTGAATGCATCCCCCAAAAGTTCATGTGTTGGAGATTTAATTGCCAACTTAACAGTACTAAGAGGTGGGGCCTTTAAGAGGTGATTAGGTCATGAGGGCCCCACTCTCATGAATGGATGAATGCCATTATTGCAGGAGTAGGTTCATTATTGTGGGAGTGATTTCCTGACAAAGTGATGAGTTCAGCCTGATTTTCTCTATGTCTCATGTCCTTGCTTCTATCTCTCTCTCACCTTCTGCCAGGGGGGTGACCCTTGCCAGATGCCAGTGCCATGCTCTTGGACCTTCCAGCCTCCAGAACTGTAAGCCAAATACATTTATGTTCATTAAAAATTACCCATTCTGTGATATTCTGTTAAAGCAACAGAAAACAGCTGAGACGACAGCCCTTATCCCCACTATTTTTGAATACAGACTCCATTTCTGATAGTGCAGAATTTCACAAGTCCATTCAGCAACAAGAGATCATAACTTTCAAACTCTAAACAAACACTGATTTCTTTCTTTGAAACAGGGTCTGGCTCTGTCACTCAGGCTGGAGTGCAGTGGCACGATCTTGGCTCACTGCAACCTCCGCCTCCCAGGTCCAAGCAATTCTCCTGCCTCAGCCTCCTGAGTAGCTGGGATTACAGGTGTGCGCCACCACGCCTGGCTGATTTTTGTATTTTTAGTAGAGTCAGGGTGTCATCATGTTGGCCAGGCTGGTCTCAAACTCCTGGCCTCAAGTGATCCGCCCACCTCAGCCTCCCAAAGTGCTGGGATTACAGGCATGAGCCACCACTCCCAGCCTTGATTTCTTATTTATTCAGAAAAAAATAATACTTTTGCCTTGATAGCTGTTACTGAGTAACATATGTACTCTAGTACAAAGAATTGGAAATAACTTCATTCAGCTGCCTAGCCTCACAGGATCATTGACACAAACAAAATAGGTAGCCCTCAATCTTATTAAAGCAAATCTCTTGAATGTTTAAGAGTCTAATTTTTATGTTAATTTTCCCATTTAATTTGCACAAGTCTTGATCTTGCCTAGTCTGATCCACTTCTACAAATCATGAAGAAGTTGAGCACTTATAGTCATCTATAAGTGATAGGGCTAAGCCTTCTCAGTGAGCTTACCACCAAGGACAGTTTGGACAAGTGGTAGATCATCATCCTCATGTATAAGAATATTATGAAACAAAAACAAAAATGAGGGAAGGACTTTAAGTTCTATACAGGGAAGCCCTGTTTAAATCACAGTTAATTTAGAGCATGCTTTTAAATCTATAAAACAGCATTGGTAACACTTCTTTTTCTCCTCAAATGAAGATATAATATGTACAAACAAAATATTTGCATAAATTTAAAATATGTGTAACCATAGAAGTCTTTTAAAAGTAAAATCAGTAGTCTGGGCAGGGTGGCTCATGCCTGTAAAATTCCAGCAGTTTGGGAGTCAAGGTGGGTGGATCACCTGAGGTCCAGAGTTCAAGACCAGCCTGACCAACATGGGAAAACCCCTTCTCTACTAAAAATACAAAAATTAGCCAGGCATGGTGGTGCACATCTGTAATCCCAGCTACTCAGGAGGCTGAGGCAGGAGAATCGCTTGAACCTGGGAGGCAGAGGTTGCAGTGAGCTAAGATTGCGCCACTGCACTTCAACCTGGGCAAGAGTGAAACTCTGTCTCAAAATAAATAAATAAATAAATAAAAATAAAATCAGTAAAAACAGATCTACATGATAAAGTGAATTAGTTTAATTAGCATGTAGCCTTTCCCTTCTTTTTGCCTCAAATGTATGCCAGTGTATCCCTGCTATACCTGAGAGCTCTTTGTTTTTTATACTGTAATGTTATCTCTGGAATACATCACCCAAAGCACAAGAAACAAAGAAAACTTTTTATCTTTTTTCAAAATTTAAAAGCCTTATGCTACAAATAATATCCTTAAGAAAGTGCAAAATCCAACCTCAGAATGGGAGAAAATATTTGCAAATCTTTTACATAAGGAATTTTATCCAGAACATGTAAAGAACTCTTACAACTCAGCAATAAAAACATAATCCAATTTTAAAATAGACAAAGAATCTAAACAAACATTTCTCAAAAGCAGATACACAAACGAACAAGCACATGAAAAGATGCTTGGCATCATTAGCCATTAGAGGAATGTAAATGAAAACCACAGAGCAGTGTCACTTGATGCCCACAAAAATGGCTAGGACAAAGAAGACAGACAGTAACAAGCATTAGGCCGGGTGCCGTGGCTCACACCTGTAATCCCAGCACTTTGGGAGGCTGAGGCAGGCGCATCACTTGAGGTCAGGAGTTCGAGACCACCCTGGCCAGCATGGTGAAACCCCATCTCTGCTAAAAAACAAAAATTAGCCAGACGTGGTAGTGCACACCAGCTACTCGGGAGGCTGAGGCATAAGAATCGCTTGAACCCAGCAGGAGGAGGTTACAGTGAGCCGAGATTGCGCCACTACACTCCAGCCTGGGTGACAGAGTGAGACTCCATCTCAAAAAAGAAAAAAACAAAACAAAAAAAAACCATTGGTGGGATGTGAAGAAACTGGAACCCTCATGAATTACTGGTAAAAATGTAATGCAGTACAGTTACTTTGATAAACAGTTTGGCAGTTCTCAAAATGCTAAACATAGAGTTACTATATGAACCAGTAATTTCACTCCTAGGCATATACCCAATAGATACGGAAACACATGTCCCTACAAAAACTTGTACATAAATATTTATAGAATCATTATACTTTTATTTTTACTTTGTATTATTATTTTTTTTTATAGAAACAGGGGTATTGCTATGTTACCCAGGCTGGTCTCAAACTTCTGGTCTCAAGCAATCCTCCTACCTCAAGCTCCCAAAGTGCTGAGATTACAGGTGTGACCCACCATGACTGCCCCATAGTAGCATTTTTATGATAGCCAAAAAGTGTAAACAACCGAAGTGTCCACCAACTGATAAATGAATAAATAAAATGTTTATCCATTATATAGAATATTATTTGGCAATAAAAAGAATGAAGTATCAATATGTGCTACAGCATGAATGAACCCTGAAAACATTATGCTAAGTAAAAGAAATCAGTCAGAAAAGACTGCATATTAAATTTTTCTATTTATATGAAATGTCTAGAATAGGCAAATCTATAGAGACAGAAAATAGATTAGCAGTTGCCAAGGGCTGAGGAGTTACTGCTACCAGATACAAGTAGCAAATGAAAATGTTCTAGAATTGCTGGATAATGGTTGCCCAACTCTGTGAGTTACTAAAAACCAACTAATTGTATACTTCAAATGGTTGCAGTGTATGCTATGTGATATGGTTTGGCTGTGTCCTCACCTAAATCTCATCTTCAATTGTAGCTCCCACAATTCCCACGGGTCATGGGAGGGACCCAGTGAGAGGTAACTGAATCATGGAGGCAAGTCCTTCCCACGCTGTTCTTATGATAGTGAATAAGTCTCATAAGAGCTGATGGTTTTATAAAGGGGAGTTCCCCTGTACAAGTTCTCTTCTCTTCCCTGCCACCATCCATGTAAGACATGAGTTTCCTTCTCCTTGCCATCCACCATGATTGTGAGGCCTCCCCAGCCACGTGGAACTGTGATTCCATTAAACCTCTTCCCTTTACAAATTACCCAGTCTTGGGTATGTCTTTATTAGCAGCATAAGAACAGACTAATACACCATGTGATTTATATCTCAATATGAAATGTGGCTTTTTGGGGTTTTTGTTTGTTTGTTTGTTTTTGTCAACTCTGAAGCAGGAACTCCATTGTGAGTTGGAGAAGTACCACAGTGAGGGCTGCAGTATTTTTGAGGCAGCATTTGTGGAAGTTTGTAGCACTGCATACACTTCTGATATCTCTAACCCATTTTCCCTCCTTAACATTCACTCAGAAAAGTTTAGAATCATTTATACAATAGCAGATAAAAGAATCCATCCAGGAATACTTGAAATCCCTTACTTGAAGCCATTGCCAGGTCTGGGAAGGAAGACATTTGCACTCTGTGGCAGTGAATTCTCTGTGTCCCCTAGTGTATACCGGCAGCCTTGGAGCAGTCATAGCCATCCCCAACCTTCCATGATTGTGATGGCTGCACTGTTTCAGTACAGTGCTTCCCCCATCCACCCCAGTATCTGACTTGCAACTGTTCTCTGGTTCTCAAATTAGAAATGTTTACTGGGTAAGCCTCTTAGGAGATATTATAAAAACACATTTTCCGTGAATGTGCTACTTTGAATTTTCACCCAAAAGTCAGAATTAAAATGTCTCCACATTACTTGAATCAATCCTAAGTAGTCAGGTAAGTACTTAAGGAGGCACATTAAACTCAATGACATTTGAATGTCGATGCACTTGCCCTGAGAGTCAAGAATCCCGAGATTTTTTGCCATTACCCCCACAGACTCAATTTCTTTTTCGGTAGGCATTACCCCATCTCCCCTGTACCTTACAAGGATTCCTACTGAGAGAATAAATTGAATTATCATTTTTATTTAGCATATTGAACACTTTCGCAAAGCAGGTGAAATTATTACAAGACTGGATCTTTGAAAAATATTTAAGTAGGGGAGAAAAGATTGATGGTCATGACTAGGTAGCAACATTTGATTTTACCTAAATTTAGGAAATAGTTTCAGTAGTTCTCCACCTGCTGTCACAGTCACACATAAGATAGGTCAAGTCTGGGTAATGGTTGAAGTAAACCATCCCAGAAAGACTTTGCCATGGAAAGTTTGTGTGTACCCTTCACCCTGAAAGCTAGAGGAGGGCACAGTGGGCTCTGCAGAAATAGAAGTTGGGCAAAGAAGCTTTTGGAAATGAGACAGGGCAAGCAAAGAAAATGAAACCAGCTTTGCAAAAATTATAGTAGTAAGAAAATTATGACAGTGAAACAGATCTGATCTAATCTACCCCCATCTTGTCTTTAACCTCTGAACTGCCCTCATTCCTGGACTTGGACCAAGTTAACTTTGGGAGACATTTAGTTTATAGTTTAAATAATAGCCCTTCCCCAAAACTAAACCATGTTTATAAAGCTAATGAGAGACCACCAGGTTAGGAGGATGAGGAGCCTGAATTCTGCTAAGGTGTAGATTTAAACAATTACCAGTCATTACTCTGGAGGCCACAAGGTTTGCAGCTTCCCCAGTTACTCCTGCAGATAACCTCACAATTGCAGAACCTATGACTGGCCACTTGAAATGTCTTTCTGGGGTTTTGCATTTCTGATGATGAATGGCTCCACCAGGACCCACCGACCTGTCTTGTGGCCCCACCCAGAAGCAGATTCAGTGCAAAAGAACCATACCATTTTCCACATCCCCATGATTGCACCTCCAACCAATCAGCAGCACCGATTCCCTAGCCAACCCTCGCCCCAAGCTATCTTTGAAAAACTCTAGCCTCCAAATTTTGGAGGAAGCTGATTTGAGTAATAATAAAACTCCAGTCCTCCATTTAGCCAGCTCTACATGTGTAAAACTCTTTCTCTATTGCAATTCCCCTGTCTTGAAAAATCTATTCTGTCTGGGAAGTGGGCAAGAGGAACCCACTGGGCGGTTGCAGAAACCAAGGGCTGGGGGTCTTGCTAATGAATCCTGGCAAGGCAGAGTAGTCACTGACAACAGGCTCAAATGGAAGTTAATAAAACACAGACTATATACTGGCCATTTACATTTATTGCACATTAAACCTCTTTGCATACAAAAGATAATGACAGATGCAAAAACAAGAATGCTGAACAGTGCAGGCCTGACAGTAGGGAATGGGAGAGGTGCCAGCTCCCCAGATTAAACCAAACAGGCAGCTCCCTGCAAGGCCACAGGGACTTGGGAGGGAGAGGAGGCAGGGCTTCTGGGGCTACTCTGAAATTGGTGTTTTCCTCAACCGGGAAGTTAAATCTACCATGGTAAATCTATGGGTGCAGTGGAGAGTGGGGCAGCGCCCAGGAGTGGAATGCAAGCTACTTAGTCCTCAAATAAACCTGAGATGGTCCATGTAGCTTGATTTGGCATTTTATGGACCATCCTCTGCAAAAATCTTCAAGCTGGGTTAGGTTGTCTATTAGATGGAAAGTTGCTTGAAACCCCAAAAAAGGTAGCAGCAGGTCTGGTAGACTGCAGTAGTAGCAGGTGAGAGTACACCCCTAAGGGGCATATGTTTCTAAGCAGTCCAGGCTTCTCCACAGAGAACCGGTTGTTAGGTTTTTCATGTAGGTCCTTTGTAACACCTCTCAGTTTCCACCTAGAAAGAGCTGTGGACTGACTGCCTGACTTACTGACAGCCCAGAAGCCCTTCTTTAGGCAAACTTCCTCGAGCTCTCTTACTGAAGTCCCAACACCAGCTATTCTGAAGAAGCATTGATTTTCACAACAGAACAAACACATTCAAGATGCGTTTGTGATATTGAGCAGTAGATGCGATTGAACCACTCTAAGATCCTCCCTTTTTCTCCAACTTTAAACTCCCCCATGATGCTCGCCAAGGTGCAGCAGCTGCTATGGACAGTCTGGGGCCAGGACAAAAGGGAAAAAATTGCAAACAGCCCTCAGGCAAACCTCTCAGCAGTCTCTTTCTGCAGCTGTACTGGAAAAGCATCCATGCAGGTATTAACATGGAGAGCCCTGTTAGCTCAGTCTTGCTAACTGGGAATCTGGGGGCTCCACTTTCTTGCCCAGCTGTCATCTCCCTGCAGCGATGCCTGCTGGAGTCATATTGCTGGTCTCAGACTCTTCTTAGTTCGCTTGCAAGATTCTGCACAGCTGGGAGCAGAGCTGCAGCCTCCTTAGCACAGCTGAAGAGAACAAAAGCTTCAGGGGCTGGAAGATAATGAGCTCCCCCCTCCCTCTCACCCCCATCTTCACTGGCCCCATCCCCCTTTTCCTCTGACAAGTGGAAAATCACCCAGAAGCTTCTCTTGCCACCGGGCCTTTATTTATTTATTTCTTCACAGGGTGATGGCATTGCTTCCCTTGCTTTTCAGAAGCTAAAATGCTTTGGCAGCCAAGAATGAGAGCATTTGTCTTAATTCTGCCCTCTCGGCATGTGCCCTTGCAGAAAATGGCTTGCTGTTTCCTCTGCCGCTGCCACAGTTGTGGTGGCAAAGATAAACAGCCCATCAGTGCTGAGCTGAAAAGAAATATAGAAAAGGGGATGGGAGTAGTTTAATTACTTTGAATGGCTTTTTGTGTTCTGTGTGATTGCTTCCTATGATACAGTAGTTTCTCATTCTCCATGCAAGCTCTGTGTTTCTATTCATAAGAATAAGATTGAAGCAGGAAATTGGCTTTCAAGAGTGGGAGAGAGAGAATGAGGGGACTGAGAGGTTGGCTGTTTCAGTTAGAGGAAAGTGAGTCGTGGAGGGTTCCACATGGCTGAGCTGAACCAGGAGCTGGACCGGCTCAGGAAGGCCTGATAGCTTTCTTGTCCAGCCCTGGGGAACAGGTGTGCCTTGGTCACAGCAAAAGTGAAACTCACTGGGGCAAATCTCACAAAGCCTAGGAAGTGATCCTAGCAAGGTTGAGCAAAGTCCTCAAGCTAAGTCAACACGATTCTGGGGCTGCCCTCTTCCTACCTGAAAAAGTGGGGGTAGAGGAGAGGAGGGTAGAATAGTCTCTGTGTGTGTGTGTGTGTGTGTGTGTGTGTGTGTGTGTGTATGTGTGTGTGTGTGTGTCGGCAGTTCTTTTCCAATGTATCCATTTTAGGATAGATTCTAGATTTTAGGCTCTGGACTGAAACCCAGGAGAACACTGTTCCTTCCTTCTATACTATCCATCCTTACATACTTTTCATTTCTGTAAATTGAGAACTTACCATTCATAATAATGTCAAAGTCACCTTCATGTATGACATAACTATATGATCAAAAGACATACTACCAGGCCATTTGTCTCTAAGAATCAAGTGTTCTTATTACATCCAATCAATGTGACTGACTCCAGTTCATGCATTTTTCCATACAAATTAAATTGCCTTCTAAAATAAAAATAGCTTTAATACGCTAAAGAAGTTTGCTATTAGAGAAAGTCCAGTGATAAGTCATTGTGTAATACAAATAATATATGTGTCTGTAAATTCTAGTGGTTTGTGTTGGGTTTTCTTAAATTAGAATAAATCTGTAGTGGGGACATTTGAAATAACAACTGAGACTTACAAACCTATTCAGAAAATCAAGGGTCCATTGTGTGCAGAGTATTTCTAGACAACAGGGTGGAAGGAATTAATGGCATCTCTAGCCATGAGCTTACAAAAGAAGAGAGATAGAACCATCAGACAGATACATGGAACCTTTACACAGAGCAGGCAAGTCAAGCAGCTACATGAAGCAAGCCTGGAGATGCATTTTGCAATCTACAAAGTAACTAAAAATGATAACATCTACCATTGTTATTGCAAGATGCTCATAAATGTGGATAAAGAAGTTTGGAGAATAAATTCTTTTAGGCTCAAATGCTTCAGATGAAAATAACAGGACACCAAGCCCTGAAATAACATCTTATATACTCTAAATGCAAAAGGTGTAAATGTTTGCCTCAAATTCAAAATCCCAAACAGAACAGGCAAATGGGAAGAACATATCAAGACAGCTAAAATTGGTGGAGAATTGGAGGGGGTTCACCAGGAGAAACTTCTCTGGGACAGTGTAACCCAGAAAAATTGTGTTTCGGCTCAAGAAGAAATGTGCCTAGGAGGGTATTACAGTAAGAAGAAAGGGAGAGACACAGAAAGGAGATTTAAAAGCCATAAAACAGAACAAAATGAGACAAAACTGGGAGGAGAAATACAAGGTGGTACCAGGAAAAGCCAGCCTTCTATAGTCCTTTCCTTTTCTCTGTTTTCTGCATTCCCCTTCCTTGAGTGCTCTTGTCTTGTCATGTGGATGGTCATTTTCAAACCCCATGCATTCCTCTGGGAGGAAAGGACACCATCAAAATGATGGCACTGTCTCCTCTATGCAAAAGATAAGTCCAGAGTCAAGTATAAAGGATCAGCTACAGAGCAGGCCAACACCAGAAAGCAATGGATAGTGAAAAGAAAAGATCTAATCTTCCTCCTAGACTGATCATGATTCCTGGAGATCTACAACATTTTCAACATTCACCCTTTTTTCTTTTTTTTTTTTTTTTTTTTGAGAGAAAGGATCTTGCTCTGTTGCCTGAGGCTGGAATGCAGTGGTGTGACCATAGCTCACTATAGCTTCAAATTCCTGGGTTCAAGCAATTCTCCAGCAATGCTCCTACCTCAGCCTCCTGAGTAGCTGGGACTACAGGCACACGCCACCACACCTGGCTAATATATATGTATATATTTTTGTAGAGATGGGGTCTCACTATGTTATGTTGCCCAGGCTGGTCTCAAACTCCTGGCCTTGAGCGATCCTCCCACCTCAGCCTCCCAAAGTGCTGAGATTACAGGAGTGAGCCACCACATGCAGCCCTTACATTTACTCTTTGTTTGATTTTAATAAGAAAAGGAGAGCGGATAAAAGCATTTAAGAATTTGAAATCCTGGGGATCTCCACTGGGAATGGTATATCCAGTTTGACTGTTGTCCTTAGGGTATCAAGGCCATGGTAGTAAAACCAGAGTAGGAGGTCTTGATGCAGGGGCCATATGGTGGGTTAATGGAATTGAGAAGAGGAGCAAGTAGCAGAGAAGTCAAATGGGGACTGCCAGAAGCACAGATCATAAAGGTCACCATGGTGGACACGGTAAGCCATAGGCAGGTAGGAAGTAGCACCAAGACACTGGGTCTCTGGCAAGAGTGACCAAGAACACATTCACCAGAATGAAAGACATGATGGGGAATGAGGGAGCATTGGAGAAAGAACAGCCTACTTCGAGATTCTAATCTCAATACTTTTTGATCATGGGAACTTTCGACCACATGAGGATAACAAAAAAATAGTTAGCAGTTTGACCTTTAGCAAGTCCTTGGAAAGAATATTTATCTGAGAGTCCAGTTCCAATCCAGATCTCTTTTTAACTAGCACTGTGACCTTGGGCAAGTCACTTTACTTCTTTGAGCTTGACTTTCTTCATTCTACAATAACAGTGGCCTGTAGCATTATCTAATCCCATAACTGTTTTCCCCATTGACTTTAGGTTATTCTAGACTAGTGTAGTCTAGTCAGGTGAAGGAAACAAACATAAAGAACAGGGCCTGGATAAGAAAATCCCCAAATAGCATTCTCCTAGTGGGATATTCTGCAGCGAATGTTACACAAAACAACCAGAAGTCCAAGGTCTGGAGGTATCAGTTGCCTGTAAATGTCAAGACCAGATTGGGAATATCGTCTTAAACTACAAAAGCTTCAATAACATGAATAAGATTTTGATTTATTCTGTTTTGATTTATTCACCAAATCTCAAAATACTAGTATGAGAGGACGCCCTTTGAAACTTTATAGAGGAAGTTGTTCACCCAAAGGGTAATAAACTTACCAAATGCATTATACCAGCAGTTGGTACAGAGAGGATATAAATGTATAAATGGGTTCAAACATTGCTTGGGAAAGTTTTATGAATGGCCAAGTCATTACAAAGTCAAATATTACAGAAGAATGGAAATATTTAAGAGTGACATCTGGGAAAACAATAAGGCTGTCCCTCTTCCTTCAGGGCCTTCTAAGTCAAATCAGAAAAAATCAGCTCCATGTTCTACTGCTAAAAGTACAGTAAATCTTTGCTTTGTTAAAATAAGGGAACATCACAGTAAGGAAAGGAAGAAGAGATTGTGGATTAAGAGCTTCCAACACGTACAGCCATGATAAAAGCACTGATGTTAGGCACTTGGTTTATGCTGTGGTTTGAGTTTGTCCCCATCCACACCCATGTTGAAATTTGATTTCCAATATGGCACTGTTGAGAGGCAAGGCCTGCTGGGACATGTTTGGGTCATGGAGGCAGATCCCTCATGAATGGCTTCGAGCCATTCTTGCAGTAGTTGAGTGAGTTCTTGCTCTCACAAGACTGGATTAGTTCCTGCCGGAGTGTTCCTTCAAACGTAGGTTGTTATAAAAGCAGAATCCCCCTATGATTTTGCTTCTTTGCACATGTCTGCTTCTCATTTGACCTTCTCCCCCATGTTATGGAGCAACACAAAAGCCCTCATCAGAAGCCAAGCAGATGCTAGCACCATGCTTCTTGTACTTTCCCAGCCTGCAGAACCATGAGCTAAATAAACCTCCTTTCTTTATAAATTACCCAGCCTCAGGTATTCTGTTATAGCAACACAAAATGGACTAAGACAGTCCAGCAATGTCTTAATGTAGTCTGCTTCTATCTTTGAGAGAGGATTGTCATGTGATTAATACTAACTTGGATAATATCAATCCAGATTGTATTAGGTTTTAGCACTAAAAGAGATTCTAAGAGGGAAAACACTCGTGTTAGTCCAAATTATTATTTATTTTAGTAGTGGCTGTTGAATGCAAGCTCCATGAACTATCTCCTGCAGTTTGCCTTCATGAACTGGGGCTCATCAAACCTTTGGTGCCACTGCATAATCATCCCACACAAACCACTTGTACATAATACTTCGGCCCAATCCTACACTGCTGGAAAACAACTCAACCCTCAGTTTCTGAGATATGTGTTACAGTCTTATCTTAGGCCTCTGTAGAAGTATGTGTTCTTAGGTTGAAACATGTTAATGGGTGTTCTGCCTAGGTAAGGATTGTAGAAATGGGCTCTGAGCACATTTACTTTTCTCCTCGCATTTGTAATCAGCCTGTCATTTCATTATCTGCATTCCATGTTGGCTGTTTGGATCATTAAGCAAAACCTAGCTATCGCTGCATATTACTCAGTACGTTTGCTCTAATAAGGTTTCGTAAATAAAACCCGAAGAGATGAAAAAGGCCAGTGTCTGATTACATGCAACCAATTTGGTCTCATTAGGTTCTTATAAGGAGAAAAAGTAAATATAATCTTTATAAATCATACAGCTATAACGGAGATGCCTGGCAAAATTCATTAGTTAAGATAATAAGAGTGAAGACCATTTAATTGTGCATAACAGTTTGGTTTATGAAGCTGTTAAGTACTATTTCATCCATTGTAAACTTTTACAAAACTCACAGATAAAGATGTAATCAGGCAGAGGAAATCATATATTCTTACATGATTCCCTAAGGTTTTGGCTTAATAAACTGCTATTAAAACAATGATAAAAACTAATGCTCATCTTGAATTTTTCATTCAAAGAACCCTGAGTGACATATAAAGCATTAATTTGTTTTCCCTAGATGCCCAAAGCTTAGAAACAGTTTATTCAACCTGTTTTACAGAGGATACCATTGAGGCTCAAAGAGATAAAATTATAAGCTAAAGAAAAAACAGCAAAATTAACAAAGGAACAGAGAGGATACCCTAAGGTTATTGCTTCTGAAGTCAATGTAAAGTCAGAATTTTCATTAAAAACAAACAAATAAAAAAAGACTGGATACCTCTTTTTATTGCTTTAAGCATAATATCTTGATTTGATTCTTGGGTGGCAAGAATCAAACGTTGATTCTTTAGACTTGGGTATTGCTTCTCAACTGCAGTATTTATTTGGGAATAAAAAATGAAACAAATACCTAGAGATGGCAGAACTTGGAGTTAGACAACCTGGTTTTAGGAACTGGCTCTACTTCTCCCTCCATGACCTTGAGCAAGTCACTGAATGGACCCAGTGCCTTCCTATGTGAAACAGGGATACCAATGCTGAGAGAGGAAAGAAGATGCTTCATATTGAGGGTGGGAGAACTTTGCAAAGTTTAAGTTGCTATCCAAATATTACCTATTTTTCTTGTATTTTTTCTGTCTTTTCATTATATACTACAATGTTTTGAGAATTAGCTCCCATCTCCTAAACCTATCACTTTTTTTTCCCATACACATCATTTTAATATTGTCCATAAGGCTTTGCCTAATGGGTCAGTACAACGTTCCATCTCAGCACTGGGGAAGCTGAGGCACTCCTAAGGAGTGGTTCTTCTTCCACCACCTCAACCTCACTACCTCTAACTAGATGTCAGAATTTAATTCTCATATTTGGCCCAAGCCTGTCAACCCAGGGGAAACCAGTTTTCTGAACTGCCAGAAAGAATGAAATGGGAGAAGCAAGAGTTGGCTCTCTTCCCACGCTCCCATTTCGGTCAAGTTGCCATCTCCCCAGCACACACTGCCACTCAGCTCCTGCGGTTTTTATTTCTATTACTAACCAGTGCCTCTTCCAGAGTCCAAGACACAGACTATTCCCCAGTCTGTCTTCCAATACCACCCATCACTATGTGAATGTGAGTTATAGCAGGGAAAGGAAAAATAGGGAGGGTAGAGGGGAGGAGAATGGGGAGAAGCAAGTATCATCTCAGGCAGTTGAGCTTCAGATGAAACATCCCAGAGCTAAATTGCACATACACTGCAAAGGGCCTAAGAGAACCACTGATTTTAAACAAAACATATAAGCTTAAACAACATATAATGTCCGCTGGGTGGCATGGAGGAGGTTTGCCCAGGTAGGGTGTACAGTGCATGTTAGGAGATGGAGTGGGACAAGGAGGAAGAGGGAGTTGGATTTTATTTTTTTTCTCTTTTTCCTCCATTTTAAATAGCAGTGATGTAGCTAGCCGAAGTACAGCGCTTCTTACAATAGATACAACAGTGCCACCTACAGCTGAGAAGGGATTGTCCTTCAAGCCAGCCAGAGGCCAGGACTGAAACTGATTACTTTGCACTGCCTTAATGAAGTTTCCCCAGTTGGGGTTGGATGGCTGTTCCACTGTACAGTCTGCAGACAAGACTTGGAGTAACTGCTTGCAGAGCCCAAGGATATACGGGCTGTCTTTGCTGATGTTAGTCAGCCCACTGCAGCTCCTCTTGAACTGAGTCCCAAAACATAAAAGAAAGGATCTTCTATATGATAGCCCTCAAACTTCCCCCACCCCCATCAAAATGCAAATTTTCTTGGGTTTTCCTCCCAGTATCCTATTCTTTGCATGTTAAGATAATTCATGCAAATTTTATGCATTTTGCTCAGAGGCATCTAATTAGACAGATTAGCTCGTAGACTCAGTAACCTTCTATTTTATTCTTCTGAAAAGAAGGTTATGTCAGTTAGGAACCTCTCACTCCTAATAGGCATCAGGCACAGAGCAAGTTTGTATATGAGCAAGAGCTCACAGGTCTCTGTGTGTACACAGTACATAAACAAGTGCATTTTGTTACGTATGTTTCTGTGTGTTTGCATTTGAGGGCCTTCACATGCATTTGTATTAAAAAGTCCTGCATTGGCCAGGCACTGTGGCTCATGCCTGTAATCCCAGCACTTTGGGAGGCCGAAGCAGATGGATCACTTAGGGTCAGGAGTTCAAGACCAGCCTGGCCAACAAGACAAAACCCCATCTCCACTAAAAATACAAAAAGTAGCCGGGTAGGGTGGTGGCACGTGCCTGTAGTCCCAGCTACTCAGGAGGCTGAGGCAGGAGAATCGCTTGAACCTGGGAGGCAGATGCTGCAATGTGCTGAGATTAAGCCACTGCACTCCAGCACTCCAGCCTGAGCAACAGAGCAAGACTCTGTCTAAAAAAAAAAAAAAAAAAAAAAAATTCCTGCATTGGTTCATAAGCACCAGTGCAATCAAAGTGCACTTTTCCATAAGAAAAAGGGAAATAAAAGGTTGGCTCACAAAGGTCCAAGAAGTAGGAATATCGGACTGGCATAAGAGCTGAACAAAGGAAATTAAAGAGAAAAAACACATATATATTTCCTCCTTTGTTCTGAAAGTGGATTTTGATTCTTGTTGGCATGCCACCAGTATGCAATTCAGAAAGAAAGAAAACTCACTTATAAGGGAAAGATAAACTAGAGACGTGATGCTAACAAGCTCTCAAATTGACTAAAGCATTGTGGGTTGCCATGGAAAGAGATCTTTTAAACTGTGAGGGTCATTATTCCCTGCCTCGAAAAATCCACCAGGTGTGCCAGCCTAAGATCTAATTAGACAAGCAAGATTCCTCAGAGCAGCAGCTGGGATGACTTCCTGATACTTTCTCTTCCTTGAAGAGTCTGCCAATTCCCAAGAGTCTTCCAGATGTGTGTTTAATCAACCACTGCATAAAGCTCCCTGCAATCGACACCACCTCTCCCAGCATGCAGGAGTCAGTAAAGCTTTTAGGTCAGAGGGCACAAACTCAAACACCTGCCTGTGTCATTTGATTGAGGCCAGTTAGGATGGTCACAAGCTGAAGAGCTCTTGCCTGTTTAAAAAGAACAGCCATTACTCAGTGCCAGCCAGTTGCTGCCTTGAGGAAATGCAGACCCTCTATTGTTAGATTTTCTTCAAGAGCAGCCAGAATCCAAATGTGTCTGTGAAAACTCCTGATTTTTAAATGTTGGCAGCAAGTCAGAAAAATGGAAAACCTTGTGCTAGGCCAAATAAATCTTGGCCAGTGGCCTAATTTGACCTGGAAAATGCCACGGCAGCCCCTGATTTGGGTCATTCGCAGCCCTAGAAAATCTATATTCAAACCATGCCCAAGTATTCTGCCTCCACTGCTTACTTAGGGAAGAAACTTTCACATTTTCGTGCCTTTTTTCATTCTGTTTCACCTGCCTGGGTTGCTCTTTCCTTCCATCTCTGCCTGTCAAAATCCAATATCAAGGGCCAACTCAAATGTCAATTTATTTGTGAAGTCTGCCAGAATCACTGCAGTCAAAATTAATCACTCCAGTAATGCTACGTTTTTATCTCTATTCTTGAATTTAGCAGTCTGCCTCCTAGTAGGGGTAAGCAGTGTTGATGTAAGTCCCAGTTGTGAGCCCTTGAGAATTAGTAATGTGTCAAATACATATGCTCTCTCTTTGTCCAGTGCCCAGCACAGAGCCTGTGTTGACAGTTGGTTTGAATTTAGATGGGCAAGACACTAAATGAGAAATAGTGCATGCAGCTCATTGGCATGACTCATGGCAGTTCAAAAACAATTCAATCCCAGCCTTACATGAACATGCCAGGCGATCAGATGACAATACGGTACTGTGCTTCCAAAATCAGGTCTACATAATGGTGATTAAATCAATGGGTATTTGCTAAGATTAGTATCTCTGCCAGACCTCATGGATCTAGTAAGTAAAACTAGATTGTTATTATTATGATGCTATAACTTGACTTCCTAAAAAACAGGAAGTTTTTTCATGTTTTATCCTATGTGCCCATCACACTTCTGACACAGTGAAAGATTTCAGTAAAACATTTGTGATGTTTAGTCATGATTATCAAAACAAGTCTATAATGAGCACCTAACTCCATCCAAAGAACAGCACACTCTGCGGTGGTTACATGGTGCAGTAATCTCGGGGAGTTGAAATCTAGCTGAAAAGCAAAACATATTTATGTGAAAAAAAAATAGTTGCACTATCAGTGCATGGTGAATTCCAGAAGGTACTATGGAGTTCCAGTCAAGTGGCATGCCCTCTGCTCACTTCTGGGGATTCACAAAGAATAAGAAGCAGTGCCCACCCTCAGGGAGACCTAGTATCCTCTATGGGAGTTGGAAATAGAAAAATCACTGTGGGCTGAACACTCAGAAAAAGTGAGATATGAAATCACAGGAAGGAGGAATCTAGTCAGGTCTAGATGGAAACCAATGATCTATTGTTTTAACATTAGAGTTATTTCCCTAGGAAAGAAAAAATAGGGGGAGGATACTGAATAATTTTTGCTAAAGGGAAAATATTCGAAAATGTTGCTGCTCCTAGGTGACAGCAGCCCCTGTGAGATCTAGGGATCTAAAAACCCCTAAACCTCAACCATGGGATCACATCCACATTAAGAACGATACAGAAGCTGCCAGGAAGTAGAGAGTCAGAGGGTGGTGAGGTCTGAGAGAGGAAGGAGAGCTCTCCCTGGACAGATGCCCTGGAGATGCTCACAGCTCTTATTACTCTGGGGGACGCCGGTGCTGAATGGAATAAAGACAGTGAGATGAACCCCTTGCCACACCCTGGCATCCTCATGCTCCTGGCCTCTGGTCTCCCAAACAATGCTTCCTATAGAAACTCCCAATGCTGTCATGGATCACCTCTGTCTACCCAAAAGCCTCAAAACCCATTGGTGAAGCTAGGCATGGTGGCTCAAGCCTATATTCTCACCACTTTGGGAGGCCAATGCAGGCAGATCACTTGAGTTCAGGAGTTTGAGGCCATCCTGGGTAACATGGCAAAACCCTGTCTCCACAAAAAATACAAAATTGGCCAGGCCTGGTGGTGCATGCCTGTAGTCCCAGCTACTAGGGAGGCTGAAGTGGGAGGATGGCTTGAGTCCAGGATATCGAGGCTGCAGTGAGCCGTGATTGCACTAGTGGACTTCAAGCTGGGCTGAAGTTTTCTTTTGAGACCCTATCTCTAAAAAACAAGCAAATAAACAAACAAAAACATGAGTGAAGCTTCCCTGTTTTGGGTAGAGAGAGGATAACAGCCATGATCACTGTTTACACTTTCCTTTGCCCAAAGTGAAATTGGGCAGAGAAAGTCTTAACAAAAAGAAAAGAATGGTCCTAGTTTTAGGATAAGCCTTTCCCTTTTAAGTGGAAAAGCTGATGTCATGAAATCTGTTGTGACCACCTTGCCCACCAAGCAGAACAATCCACCCATGATATGTGTCAGTTTATAATTTATAGTTGACCCATAAAATGGAGGACATCTAGGGAAAGAAATAAAAAATAGAGAGGAAAAGAAGGAGGGAGGAAAGGAAAAGATCAGTCTGACAGGGAATTAAAACAAGAAGGGTTTATTGAGATAATGTGAGTTAAGTCTGGAGTTTAAGATCAGGGGTTGCCAGAGATAAGCACAGGAAGATGAGGAAAAGAAGAAAAAAATTAAAGAGAATCAAAACTCTGCTTCTCAAGCCCATGCTCTGCCAATAATTTATTCTTTAGAAATAAAAAAGGCAGACAGATCAGAAGATGGGAGAAAATCAACACAAAAGTGGAGGTGTCAACCTGAGCAGATTTCAAACTGAAACAAAGAATTTATATGATTAGCTGCAGTTACATAGAGATGTATAAACATCTTGGGCAAAACGATACCAAGCAAAACTCTAGCACTTCATGGTGCCGTATGTGTAGTTTAGTCTTTTGATATCTATTTTATATTCTGCCAGCAAAAATTTTGTCATATCTTATGTGTTTTGCCAAGTTCTTTATTTGGGATTCTTCCTGATTTAAATATTTTTAGCTGCAGTGGTTTTTTAATCATGAGGGTATTGTTTCAAAAGGAATTATTTTATATGCATCCAAAAGCAAAATTGAAGACCAATTCAAATTCATCTGAGATCATCCTATAAGTGCAGGACACTATGGAAAAACACAGAAAGCTGACCTTGAGAACTGTCATATGAAGGGATCTCAGATTTCTGTTACAAAAACACAGTTAGTGGGTGGCCTTTGCTGATGCCTCCCGATGATGTTGATTGAAGATGGCAAATTGCAACTTCATCTGTGTTCATCAGAAAATAAGGCCCATTCACTCTTCCCACCCTGAAATCCAGCCCCTTTGCAATTAGCCAGCTTTCTCAGTGGCCTACAATTTGGATAAGAGGAGCATGAATGCATGACTTTCTAGAAAGAAATATAATGTCTTGCCATGTCATTGTTTCTCTAAGGAAGCAGTACCACCCTTGATTTGGGGCTTAATGGCTCAGAACTAGCACCTGGAAGAAAAAAGAATTAAAACTTCAAGACAGATGTAATTCAGAACTTTCCCTTGGTGGGTATCTTCCTCTCAAGCTCTGTCTGTAAGGGCGGGGAAGGGGGCAAATGCATCTGTTCATGGAGATAGTTGCTAATGGGTAATTTTCTGCTTGTCCCCAAGCCCTACAGTCCTTTACCCCCCAAAACATTATGTAGAAAGAGAGAGTCAAGCTCAATATGGCAAGAGAAACATAAACACAACTGTTAGGCAATAGAGCAGCACCCCCTAAAGGCTTGGCTGTAGGGACACCTTGGTTTTTCAAACCTACATACAGACATTGGGTTGCTTCATTCCTCATATATTTAAGTTGATCCAATAAAGGCATTGTTCAGAGTGGAAATGTGTAGTACGACCAATGCAGTCCTTTTTTACAGCTAACCAATTATGGGCTAAAAGAACAATGCGAAGTCTCTTTTCCAATTGTTCGTAGGAGTGTGTTCATTCCAAGCCATTACCGCATGTGTCTGTCAGAGGGAATCTCTGCATCAGGCTGTAATGAGTCACATTAGCTTTTTTTCCGCAACAAAGCATTACATGGCCTGGCTCTATGACAGCTCAGAGATTATGGTTCAGGGAGCAGCTTTAAATCTAGCTCTCTTTCTTTCTAGAAAATCCAACGAGGCTGCAGTTATCAGGGCAGCTCTTAAAACCACAGGCAAGGAAGGAGGAAGAGTCTATCAGCACTTTGGGAGGCCAACGCAGGTGGATCACTTGAGCTCAGGAGTTCGAGACCAGCCTGGGCAACATGATAAAACCCTGTCTCTACAAAAAAATACAAAATTAGTCAGGCCTGGTGGTGCATACCTGTAGTCCCAGCTACTAAGGAGGCTGAAGTGGTTCTAGGGACGCAGCTCTAGAAGGATGTAGACAGGCACTGCTGCCTGCAGAAGGAGAGAAGTTCCTGAGAGACAGTTGCCTCAAGGAAAGTGTGTAGTACCATGGGGAGGCAACAAACAGGGAAGCCCAGGGTCTCAACCTACCACATCTCTCTCCAACATTTATTGTCGCCCTGCCTTAGAGTCAAGCAGCAAGCCTTTCCCTAACAAAATACATCATTCGCATTTTGCTGTTCCCTCTTGGGTCACTTTCTGTCTGCCTCTCCAGATCCAGACTCTTCCATTCTCTTCCAGGTTCTTATCCTGATAGCCTGACCTGGATGGTTTCATCCATTTCCCAAGATGGTAGCTTCCTGATTGGGCTCCTGGGTTCATAGGGAAAGAGGGATGAAGCCAGGCAAAAAATCAGAGCAATGGAGCAATGAAGGTGTTTGCTTGTCCTGGCTCCTTCCCTCTGCTCCTTTAGGCTGGTTCTGCCCCCAGCCTGAAGGGCACTGTTCTTTGGAGGTGGCTTCCT